>NW_003315930.1:0-171286 GCF_000001405.40 Homo sapiens | reverse complement strand
GAATTCTATATGCAGGAAATCTACCCTTCAAAAACAAAAGGGAACTTAGGACACTCTCAAATAAATAAAACTAAATTCATCACTAGCTACTAAAGGAAGTCCTTCAGGCTAAAAGCAAAGTGTACTAGATAGTAACTCAAACTTGTATGAAGAAATAAAAAGTACCAATAAAGATAACTGTGTAGGTAAATATAAAGAACAGAATAAGTATATTTTTATTTCTCTTATCTTCTGATTTAAAAGACAACCAACTGCATAAAGCAATAATTATAAAACTGTGTCAATGGGCTTATAACACAAAAAGGTGCCATATTCATGATAGAATAATGGAAGGAAGAAATGAAGCATAGTTTTTGTATGCTATGAAATTAAGTTAATATGAACTAGATTATCTTAAGTCAAGTTATTAATTGAGGGCCAGGAGTGGTGGCTCATGCCTGAATCCCAGCACTTTGGGAGGCCGAGGTGAGAGGATGGCTTGAGCCCAGGAGTTTGAGACTAGCCTGGACAGCATGTGAGACCCCACTTCTTTCTAAAAAAAAAAAAAAAAAAAAAATCAATTGTTTTGATCACCTCTCAGTGTTTTGGCTAAGATCAAGTGTAGTATCTGTTCTTATAAGTTTAATATCTGATATGTCCTCTATCTGAGGATACTATATTAAATGGGTTTTTGGAGCAGGGAGATGGGATAGGAGCTTACTCTGTCCACTCCAGGTATTGCAGTACCTCCAGGAATGGTGCACCCTCTTTGGGGAATAATAACATTTTAAAAAATTACTTGTAAAAATATTTTTTAAAGATGTTAATTGAAATCCCTAGGGCAACCACTAAGAAAATAACTTAGAAATATATAGTAAAATAAAACAAGAATTAAAATGGTATATTAGAAAATATCTATTTAACATGAAAAACAGTAATAGAATAAAGGAACAAAAAGAAGATGTAATACATACAGAAAACAAATGCCAAAATGCAAACATAAATTCTACCTTATTAATAATTATGTTAATTGTAAATCGTAATTGTTAACACTCTGATCAAATGGTAGAGACTGGTAGAATGAATTGAAAAAATGATCCAACTATATGTTGTCTCCAAGAGACACACTTTAGATTCAAATATACAAATAAGTTGCAACTGAAAGATTGGAAAATGATATACCATTCATGCAGTTCCCAAAAAAGAACTGGAGTGGCTACAATAATATCAGACAAAATAGACATGAGATGCCACCTCCCACTTGGGATGACTATAATAAAAAAGAGAAAGTGAGAAATGTTGACAAGGATATGGAGAAACTGAAACCCTAATACACTGCTAGTGGGAATGTAAAATGGTACAGCCACTTTGAAAAAGTCTGGCAATTATTAAATAGTTAAGTGTAGAGTTACCATACGATCCAACAGTTCCACTCCCTGGTTTATACCTTAAAGAAAATGAAAACATATGTCCACAGAAAAAGTTGTTCACAAATAAAATAGCATCATTATTATAGTAGCCAAAAAATGAAAGCAATCCAAATGTTCATCAATTGATAAATTTATAAACCTTGAAAACCTTGTCTTAGTGAAAGAAGCCAGATACAGAAGACCACATATTGTATGATCTGATTTGTATGAAAGGTCTAGATGGGCAAATCTATATAGACAGAAAGTAGATTAGTAGTTTTCTGGGGGTGGGGTAAAGAGGGAAGAGATAGGGAAAGGGAATGGGAGTGACTACTAATGGGTATGGAGTTTCTTTTGAGGTGATAAAAAATGTTCTAGAATTAGATAGTGATAAGCATTACACAGCTTCATGAGTATATTTAAAACCAATGAATTATATACTTTAAAAAATGAATTATTTGGAATGCAAATTCCATCTCAAAACTATTTAAAAATGAACAAATGGAAATTCTAGAATTGAAAAATAGAATTACAGAAATTAAAAATCAGTTAATGGGTTTAATAACATACTGAACATCGCTAAGATTCAAAAAAAATTTTTTAATTGGCCAAGAGAAAATACCCAAACTAAAGAACTGAGAACAAAAAGAAAGAAAATATTTGTAAGAGAGCATGAAGGATATATAATACATAGTAAGAACTTTTAATGTACATATAATTGGAGTCTCAGAAAGATAGGAGAGACAGTTAGGCAGGGGCAATATTTGACAAGATAAAGATCAAGAAATTTTGAAAACTATTGAAAGATCTCAGCTCAAAGATTAAAGAAATTTAATGAAACCCAAGCAGAATAACTACAAAGAAGACTACACACATGCATGTTGATATAGTTTGGATATTTGTCCTCTGAAATCTCATGTTGAAATGTGATCCCCAATGTTGGAGGTGTGACCTAGTGGGAGATGTTTGGGTCATGGGAGTGGATCCCTCATGAATGGCTTGGTGCCATCCCCTTCATGATTAGTGAGTTTTTGCTCTATTAGTTCACGTAAGAACTGGTTGTTTAAAGAGCCTAGCACCTCCTTCCTGCCTCCCTCTTGCTCTGTCTCACCATGTTGACATGCCTGCTCTGCGTTTGCCTTCCGCTACAAGTAAAATCTTCCTGAGACTTCACCAGAAGCTGAGCTCATGTTGGTGCTATGCTGTTAGAGCCTGCAGAACCATGAGCCAAATAAAACACTTTTCTTTATAAATTCTCATCTCAGATATTCCTTTATAACAATGCAAAGTGGACAAATACATATCATACTAAAATGCTGAAAATCAAACATGAGGAGAAAATATTAAATGCACCCAGAGGAAAATAGTACTTTCAAAATAAAAACAAAAACAAAAAACAATTTTAGGACTGACATCTGACTTCTCAATAGATATGATGGAAGCCAGAATTCAGTTGAATTACATCTTTAAATAAATGGCTGTTAAGGAAATAATTGTTCACCTAGAATTCTATTCCCAGAAAAACTATCCTTCAAATGTAAAGGAAAAAGACATTCCCAGACAAACAAAAACTGAAAGAATCAGCAGCAGACATGCACCAAAAATAAAATGAAACAAAACAAAAATAAAAAGCTAGATACAGAAGAAAATTATTCTAGCAAAAGAAAAACACTTCCCACAAAAGAAAATAATTCAAGAGATAAACATGGAAATGTAGAAAGGAATGAAGATGAATGGGGAAATATGTGAATAAATATAGAATACTTTTTAGGATTTAAAAAACATATAAATATAAAGCAAATACTAGGCTAGTTATGAAAATAATACAACTATCGTAATGTTAGTTGTGAGCTAAAGAAAAAAAAACAACTTGTAAAGGAATATAAACAATAAGAACTCAACAAAAAGCGTATATTGAAATCTGGCAAGATGGCCAAATAGGAACAGCTCTGGTCTGCAGCTCCTAGCAAGACCTATGCAGAAGACGAGTGATTTTTGCATTTCCAACTGAGTGGTGCCTAGAACCCCAGCAGGACAGAACCGTTCACTTTCCTGGAAAGGGAGCTGAAGCCAGGGAGCCAAGTGGTCTCACTCAGTGGGTCCCACTCCCATGGAACCCAGCAAGCTAAGAAACACTGGCTTGAAATTCTCAATGCCAGCATAGCAGTCTGATGTTGACCTGGGATGATGGAGTTTGGTGTGAGAGGAGCATCCGTCATTACTGAGGCTTGTGTAGGCAGTTTTTCCCGGACAGTGCTAAGGAGGCCAGGAAGTTCAGACTGGGCAGAACTCACCACAGTGTGGCAAAGCGGTTGTGGCCAGACTGCCTCCCTAGATCACTCCTCACTGGGCAGGATCTCTGAAAGAAAGGCAGCAGCTTATAGATAAAATTCCCATCTCCCTGGGACAGAGCCCCTGGGGGAAGGGGTAGCTGTGGGTGCAGCTTCAGTGGACTTAAATGTCCCTCCCTGCCGGCTCTGAAGAGAACAGTGGATCCTGACAGGGAGGATTCTCCCAGCACAGTGCCCAAGCTCTGCTAAGGGACAGACTACCTTCTCAAGTGGGTCCCTGACTCCCGTGCCTCCTGACTGGAAGAGACCTCCCAGCAGGGACCGACAGACACCTCTTACAGGAGAGCTCTGGCTGGCATCTGGCAGGTGGCCCTCTGGGACAAAGCTTCCAGAGAAAGGAGCAAGCAGCAATCTTTGCTGTTCTGCTGCCTCCAATGATGATGCCCAGGCAAACAGGGTCTGGAATGGATCTCCAGCAAACTGCAGCAGACCTGCAGAAGAGGGGCCTGACTGTTAGAAGAAAAACTAACAGACAGAAAACAATAATATCAACATCAACACAAAGGACCCCCACACAAAATCCCCATCCAAAAGTCATCAACTTCAAATATCAAAGGTAGAGAAATCCATGAAGATGAGTAAAAACCAGCACAAAAATGCTGAAAATTCCAAAAATCACAATGCTGCTTCTTCTCTAAATGATCAGAACTCTTCTCCAGCAAGGGCACAAAACTGGATGGAGAATGAGTTTGACAAATTGACAAAAGTCGGCTTCAGAAGATAGGTAATAAATTCCTCTGAGGTAAAGGAGCATGTTCTAACCCAATGCAAGGAAGCCGAGAACCTTGATAAAAGGTTACAGGAACTGCTAACTAGAATAACCAGTTTAAAGAAGAACATAAATGACCTGATGGAGCTGAAAAACACAGCATGAGAACTCTGTGAAGCATACACAAGTATCAATAGCCAAATCAATCAAGCAGAAGAAAGAATATCAGAAATTGAGGATCAACTTACTGAAATAAGGCATAAAGACAAGATTAGAGAAAAAAAATGAAAAAGATGATCAAAGCCTCCAAGAAATATGGGACTATGTGAAAAGACCAAATCTATGACTGATTGGTGTACCTGAAAGTGAGGGGAAGAATGGAACCAAGTTGGAAAACATACTTCATGGTATTATCCAGGAGAACTTCCCCAACCTAGCAAGACAGGCCAACATTCAAATTCAGGAAATACAGAAAACACCACTAAGATACTCCATGAGAAGAGCAACATGAAGACACATAATCATCAGATTCTCCAAGGTTGAAATGAAAGAAAAAATGTTAAAGGCAGCCACAGAGAAAGGTCAGGTTTCTTAGAAAGGGAAGCCCATCAGACTAACAGTGGATCTCTCTGCAGAAACCCTACAAGCCAGAAGAGAGTAGGGACCAATATGCAACATTCTTAAAGAAAAGAATTTTCAACCCAGAATTTCATATCCAGCCAAACTAAGCTTCATAAGTGAAGGAGAATTAAAATCCTTTACAGACAAGCAAATGCTGAAGGATTTCGTCACCACCAGGCTTGCCCTACAAGAGCTCCTGAAGGAAGCACTAAATATGGAAAGGAAAAACCAGTACCAGCTACTGCAAATACGTACCAAATTGTAAAGAACATCAACACTATGAAGAAACTACATCAAGTAACAGCCACAATAACCAGCTACCATCATAATGACAGAATCAAATTCACACAATGACAGAATCAAATTCACATAATGACAGAATCAAATAACAATATTAATCTTAAATGTAAACGGGCTAAATGCCCCAATTAAAAGACACAGACTGGCAAATTGGATAGAGTCAAGACCCATCAGTGTGCTGTATTCAGGAGACTCATCTCACATGCAAAGACACACATAGGCTCAAAATAAAAAGATGGAGGAATATTTACCAAGCAAATGCAAAGAGAAAAAAAAAGCAAGGGTTGCAATCCTAGTCTCTGATAAAACAGACTTTAAACCAACAAAGATCAAAACAGACAAAGAAGGCCATTACATAATGGTAAAGGGATCAATGCAACAAGAAGAGCTAACTATCCTAAATATATATGCACCAAATACAGGAGTACCCAGATTCATAAAGCAAGTTCCTAAAGACATACAAAGAGACTTAGACTCACACACAGTAATAGTGGAAGACTTTAACACCCCATTGTCAGTATTAGATCAATGAGACAGAAAATTAACAAGGATATCCAGGACTTGAACTCAGCTCTGGACCAAGCGGACCTAATAGATATCTACAGAACTCTCCACCCCAAATCAGGAGAATATACATTCTTCTCAGCAACACATCGCACTTATTCTAAAATTGACCACATAATTGGAAGTAAAACACTCCTCAGTAAATGCAAAAGAACAGAAATCATAACAAACAGTCTTTCAGACCACAGTGCAATCAAATTAGGACTCAGGATTAGGAAACCCACTCAAAACTGCACAACTACATGGAAACTGAACAACCCGCTCCTGAATGACTACTGGGAAAACAACAAAATGAAAGCAGAAATAAAGATGTGTTTTGAAACCAATGAGAACAAAGACACAATGTACCAGAATCTCTGGGACACAGCCAAAGCAGCATTAGAGGGAAATGTATAGCACTAAATGCCCAAAGGAGAAAGCAGGAAAGATCTAAAATCGACACCCTAACATCACAATTAAAAGAACTAGACAAGCAAGAGCAAACAAATTCAAAAGCTAGAAGACAAGAAATAATGAAGATCAGAGCAGAGCTGAAGGAGATAGAGACATGAAAGTCCCTTCAAAAAAATCAGTGAATCCAGGAGCTGGTTTTTTAAAAAGATCAATAAAATAGATAGACCGCTCAGACTAATAAAAAAGAACAGAGAAGAATCAAATAGATGCAATAAAAAATGATAAAGGGAATATCACAACTGATCCTACAGAAATACAAACTACCATCAGAGAATACTATAAACACCTCTATGAAAATAAACTAGAAAATCTAGAAGAAATGGATAAATTCCTGGACACATACACCCTCCCAAGACTAAATCAGGAAGAAGTAGAATCCCTGAATAGACCAATAACAAGTTCTGAAATTAAGGCAGTAATTAATAGCCTACCAACCAAAAAAAGCCCAGGACCAGATGGATTCACAGCCAAATTCTACCAGAGGTACAAAGAGGAGCTGGTACCATTCCTTCTGAAATTATTCCAAGCAATAGAAAAAGAGAGACTCCTCCCTAATTCATTTTATGAGGCCGGCATCATTCTGACACCAAAACCTGGCAGAGACACAACAAAAAAAGAAAATTTCAGGCCAATGTCCCTGATGAACATCAATGCAAAAATCCTCAATAAAATACTGACCAACCGAATCCAGCAGCACATCAAAAAGCTTATCCACCACAATCAAGTCGGCTTCATCCCTGGGATACAAGGCTGGTTCGACATACACAAATCAATAAATGTAATCCATCACATAAACAGAACCAATGACAAAAACCACATGATTATCTCAATAGATGCAGAAAAGGCCTTCGATAAAATTCAACACCGCTTCATGCTAAAAACTCTCAATAAACTAGGTGTTCATGTGAGATACCTCAAAATAATAAGAGCTATTTATGACAAACCCATAGCCAATATCATACCGAATGGGGAAAAGCTGGAAGCATTCCCTTTGAAAACTGGCAAAGACAAGGATACCCTCTCTCACCATTCCTATTCAACATAGTATTGGAAGTTCTGTCCAGGGCAATCAGGCAAGAGAAAGAAATAAAAGGTACTCAAATAGGAAGAGAGGAAGTCAAATTGTCTCTTTTTGCAGATGACATGATTGTATATTTAGAAAACCCCATTGTCTCAGCCCAAAAACTCCTTAAGCTGATAATCAACTTCAGCAAAGTCTCTGGATACAAAATCAATGTGCAAAAATCACAAGCATCCCTATACACCAATAATAGACAAGCAGAGAGCCAAATAATGAGTGAACTTCCCATTCACAATAGCTACAAAGAAAATAAAATACCAAGGAATACAACTTACAAGGGATGTGAAGGACCTCTTCAAAAAGAACTACAAACCAGTGCTCAAGAAAAATAAGAGAGGACACAAACAAATGGAAAAAAAATTCCATGCTTATCAATAGGAAGAATCAATATCATGAAAATGGCCATACTGCCCAAAGTAATTTATAGATTCAATGCTATTCCCATCAAGCTACCATTGACGTTCTTCACAGAATTAGAAAAAACTACTTTAAATTTCATATGGAACCAAAAAAGAGCCTGTATAGCCAAGACTATCCTAAGCAAAAAGAACAAAGCTGGAGGCATCACGTTACCTGACTTCAGACTATACTACAAGGCTACAGTAACCAAAACAGCATGGTACTGGTGCCAAAACAGACATATAGACCAATGGAACAGAACAGAGGCCTCAGAAATAACACCACACATCTGCAACCATATGATCTTTGACAAACCTGATAAAAACAAGCAATGGGGAAAGGATTCTCTATGTAATAAATGTTGCTGGGAAAACTGGCTAGCCATATGCAGAAAACTGAAACTGGACCCCTTCCTTACACCTTATACAAAATTAACTCAAGTTGGATTAAAGACTTAAGTATAAAACCTAAAACCATAAAAACCATGAAGAAAACCTAGGCAATACCATTCAGGACATAGACATGGGCAAAGACTTCATGACTAAAATATCAAAAGCAATTGCAGCAAAAGCCAAAATTGACAAATGTGATCTGATTAAACTAAAGAGCTTCTGCACAGCAAAAGAAACTGCCATCAGAGTATTCCTACAGAATAGGAGAAAAGTTTTGCAATCTATCAATCTGACAAAGGTCTAATATCTGGAATGTACAGTGAACTTAAACAAATTTACAAGAAAAAACCAACCCCCATCAAAAAGTGGCCGAAGGATATGAACAGACACTTCTCAAAAGAAGATGTTTATGCAGCCAACAAACATGAAAAAAAGCTCATCATCACTGGTCATTAGAGAAATGCAAATCAAAAACACAATGAGATACCATCTCATGCCAGTTAGAATGGCAATCATTAAAAAGTCAGAAAACAACAGATGTAGAGAGAGGATGTGGAAAAATAGGAATGCTTTTACACTGTTGGTGGGAGTGTAAATTAGTTCAACCATTGTGGGAGACAGTGTGGCAATTCTTCAAGGATCTAGAACCAGAAATACCATTTGACCCAACAATCCCGTTACTGGGTATATACCCAAAGGATTATAAATCATTCTACTGTAAAGACACATGCACACATATGTTTACTGCAGCACTATTTACAATAGCAAAGACTTGGAACCAACCAAAATGCCCATCAGTGATAGACTGGATAAAGAAAATGTGGCACATATACCCCATGAAATACTATGCAGCCATAAAAAAGAATGAGTTCATGTCCTTTGGAGGGACATGGATGAAGCTGGAAAGCATCATTCTCAGCAGACTAACACAGGAACAGAAAACCAAACACTGCATGTTCTCACTCATAAGTGGGAGTTGAACAATGATAACACGTGGACACAGGGAGGGGAGCATCACACACCGGGGCCTGTTGGGGGGTGGGGGGACAAATATCTAATGCATGCAGGGCTTAAAACCTAGATGTTGGGATGATAGGTCTGGCAAAGCACCATCACACATGTATACCTGTGTAACAAACCTGCATGTTCTGCACTTGTATCCCAGAAATTAATGTAAAAAAAAAAAAGGAATATTTTATCCATTTATCCTTTTTTTCTTGCATTTTCAGGTGTTTTGTAGCGAGTGCACAGTGATCTCTAGTGTATTTTTTTTTTGCTAGAAAAAGAGGTCTATAATTCATTTATTTTTCTTCATCTTTCTACACACTATACCCATCCTGGCTGGAATTTTATAGGAGCATATATCTTCTGGCTAAGAGTTTGAAATGTAATATTGAGTTTATGCACTAGATTTTAAAGCTTTTGTTTTTTTTTTTTTTCATTTGTAGAAAGGAATGCCTTAGTTATGTTCCTAATTTTAAGGGAATCTATGCCTTATTTTATTTTATTTTTATTTATTTATTTATTTATTTTTTTTGAGACGGAGTCTTGCTCTGTTGCCCAGGCTGGAGTGCAGTGGCATGATCTCGGCTCACTGCAAGCTCCGCCTTCCGGGTTCACGCCATTCTCCTGCCTCAGTCTTCCAAGTAGCTGGGACTACAGGCACCCGCCACCACACCCAGCTAATTTTGTGTGTGTGTGTGTGTGTTTTTAGTAGAGACGAGGTTTCACCGTGTTAGCCAGGATAGTCTCGATCTCCTGACCTCGTGATCCGCCTGCCTCAGCCTCCCAAAGTGCTGGGATTACAAGCGTGAGCCACCATGCCCGGCCCCACCTCATTTTAGTATTGTTATGTTAGCTAGAGATAGATCTCCAATGTCTTAGTTACAGGTAATTTTGATAAAGTTGGTGGGTACATTTAATTTTAAGTAAATACGTTTTTTACAATAACGTCTTAACCAATGTTTCCTATGATAAGTGTTCTTAGTCTCAAGGTTGTAAGTTGATAATCTTTGGAAATATTAAAACAAAACTGCCAATATTGCACAAAAAAGCCTATATTTTAGACTCCACTTTGTTGGTAATCCTGGGTGACAATATTCTACATGCCAGCCTAGTCACTTACAGTTCTTCGAAAGCTGCCACACTGTTTAATGGCTCCATACTTCACACCAGCCATTCCCTCATCCTGGAATGCTTCCTTCCTCCCTACCATTCTTGATGAACTCACACTCAGATACCCACAAGGAGAGCTAGCTGTGTGGTTTCATTACCTCTAGGACTTAACCCTTATTACTTGACTTATTATAACTCTGGGGCAATTATTTGATGTATAATGCATAGTGGGTATTCAGGAAATATGGAATAGAACAAGATCCTAGGGATCCTGGACTATATACCATTTCTGATTGCTTTCAGTTATGAGAGGTTTAATTCTTATATACATGTAGCTTATGATGCTGGTTGTTTTAACAAATAAGTGAATGTTTTAGAGAAACCTTTGTTTGTTTATGCATTAATTTTTGAATGGGTAACTGCCATGGTTTGGATGTATCCCCCAAAACTCATGAGTTGGAAACTTGATTCCCCAATGCAGTGGTGTCGAAAGGTAGGGCTTAATGGGAGATGTTTGGGTCATGGGGGCACTGCCCTTGTTAATGGATTAATGCCATTATCATGGGAGTAGGTTCCTTGTTAAAGGATGAGTTTGGTTCCCTCTTGCTCTTTCCCTTACCCTCTCTCTGCCCCTTCCACCATGGGATGATGTAGCAAGATGGCTCTCACTAGATATCAGAACCTTGATCTTAGACTTTGCAGCCCCTAGAACTGTAAGGATATAAGTTTCCATTCTATATAAATTGCTCAGTTCAGCCATTCTGTTATAGCAGCACAAAATGGATTGAGACAGTAACCCTTGTCACATTGCAATCTGAGTGCCAATACATCAGCCACATTGAGCTCACACCATTAGAGGCTAGGACAAAGGAAAACCACTCTTTTGTGGGGTGTAGGATACATAATAAGTGTGTGGCCTACAGCCCTGGGGTTACACTGACAACATTGTTATACAGACACTAGAAATAGATCAGAAAAAGTTTAGATGTTTTCTGCTGGATCAATTTCTAGGAATGTTCCAAAATACCAATCATTGTATTTTCTAGGAGAAGACACTCTGCTTTGGTGTGAAGGGTCTTTGGTTTATGAAAAACTGTGCTTTTCACATATAAGTTGTCACAGCTGTTCCAGGCCATGTGTGGTCTCTTAGTAGCATGTAGGTTTGGAAACCCTAGTGAGGCAGTGTAGGCAGAATATATAGCCATTAGAACCAGACAAATGTGAGATTAAGTCTTTGCTCCACCAGTTACTGCTCCACCAGTAAGTGCTGGCCCTGGAAAGGCACTTAACTTCCCTAAACTTCAGCTTCCTCCTGCAAAACGTGGGAACTTTCACTTACCTTACAGGTTGTGGAAAGGATGTTGAGGTTCCTAGCGCAGTGCCTACACGTGGTAAATGTCCAATATAGTAGTGCCCCCTTTATCTGTTTTTGCCTTCCATGGTTTCGGTTACCCACAGTCAGCTGTGGCCCAAAAATATTACATGGAAAGTTCCAGAAATAAACAATTCATAAGTTTTAAACTATGTTCTGTTGTGAGTAGCATGATGAAATCTTCCACTGTTCCACTCTGTCCCAAGCAGAACACAAATCATCTCTTTGTCCAATGTCTCCATGCTGTCTACACTCTCTGCCTGTGAGTCACTTAGCCATCTTTGTTATCAGACTGACTGTCACAGTATCACAGATCTTGTGTCCAAGTAACCTTTATTTTATTTAATTATGGCCCCAAAGTGCAAGAGTAGTGATGCTGACAGTTTAGATATGGCAAAGAGAAGCCATAAAGTGCTTCAAGTGAAAAGGTGAAAGGTTGTGACTTAACAAGGAAAGGAAAAATCTGAGGTTGCTGAGATCTACAGTAGGAACAAATCTTCTGTCTGTGAAATTGAGAACAATATATTGTAATTATTCTATTATTGGTCATTGTTAGTGTCTTATTGTGCCTAATTTATAGATTAAGCTTTATTATAGGTATGTATGTATGAGAAAAATATATTGTATATAGGGTTTAATACTGCCTTTGGTTTCAGGCATCCACTAGGCATCGAGGAACATATGCCCTGCAGATAAGGGGGAACTACTGTAAATAATCACTGATATTATATTTCCCTAGAAAATTAGTTATTAAAGTAATTTCAAGAACAAGAACAAAACACCTTCAACCTAATGCTATATTTGTAGGTACCCTGGGCACAGTGTAGCAAAACTTGTTTTTCTTATTTACATTGTTGTACATGGGAATAAAAAGATATAAGTGGTAAAAGAGTTAGTTAGAAAAGTGGAAGGTGTCTTGAGAAATTTTTGAAAATCTATATTGAAGCAAATGAAACAGAGAATAAAGAAGGCAGGCCCTAGAAAAAATTTACTTTAAAAATCAGAATTTTCTGTGTTGTGCACCAGAGAGTTTTATTTAATATGTCAAATATTCACTCAAAATAAATGTTGAACACACTAAGTTTGTGCATTCAAAATTTTCCACAATATATTCATATAATAACATGCACTCTATTTTTGCTATGAAGTATAACCCGAGGCAGCTGAAGCATCTTTCAAAGTTTTTAAGAAGACAAAGCAAACACAACCAAATTATTTTCTTTAGACAAAGCAATACTATGTTAGCTAAAGTGTGTCCACATAACCCAGAAATAATGTAAATACAGGAGTAGAATTAGGAGCAATTTAATATCTACTATATGTGCTTTTGTTAGATTTTCATAGACTGTGTATTTATGAGGAGAAGGTAGGACATGGTCTACTAGTCAAGCAAGCTCAGACTATAACATTATTTTAGCATAATGACATGAGGAGCAGGACAGGGCTTGGTTGTCAGCCATTTAACTTAAGAGTTTACCCTGTTCCTTCAATGTTCAACCCATTGCCCTAAATCCTGGGAGTGGGTTCAATTGTGTCTTCTCCAAAGAGGTATGTTGAAGCCCTAACCCACGTACTAGAATGTGACTGTATTTGGAGATAGAACCTTTTAGGAGGTAATTAAGTCACAATGGGATTGTTAGGGTGGGCTGTAATTCATTATGACTGGTGAACTTACAAGAAGATACATATCGGGGGTGCACTGGCACAGAGGAAAGGCCATGTGAAGCAAGAAGGCAGCCATCTGCAAGCCAAGGAGAGAAATTTCAGAAGGAACCAACCCTACCGACATCTTGATCTTGGACTTTAAGCTGCCAGACCTGTGAGAAAACAAATTTCTAATGTTTAAGCCACCCAGTCTGGGATATTTTGTTATGGAAGCCCTGGCAAACTACAGTAGTTCCCCCTTATCCTTGAGGGATATGTTCTAAGATCCCTGGTGGATGCCTGAAACTGCTGATACTACTGAACCCTATGTATACTATATATTTTTTCCTATACATACATACTTATGATGAAGTTTAATTTATAAATTAGGCCAAGTAAGAGATTAACAAGGAATAATAAAATAAGACAATTATAACAATATGCTAGCATCACTACCCTTACACTTTGCCATTTTTCAGTAGAATAAGGGTTTCTTGAACACAAGCAAGGTTTTATCAGGCTACTCAGAACGTTGCTCTTTCTCTTATACTCATCTAATCCATCATGAAATTCTGTGGCTTGGCTTTCAAAATATATCCAGGATTTGACCACTTATCACCACCCTCATTGCTAATACACAGTTCAATCCATGGTTGCTGGTCAAATGTGCCATCATAGTCAAATCCACTATCATAGTCAAATTTACCATCATTGTTCACCTGGGTTATGTGCAGTAGCCTCTAACAGGGCTCTTTGATTTCACCCTTGCTTCATTTGCACGCCTAGTCTTTCCTCAACACAGTAGCCAGAGCAATCCTTATAAAATTAGATCAGATCGCTTCTCTCCTAAGTTCAACACTCTCTAGTGACTTTCCATTTGAAATAAAGTAAAATCCAAAGTCCTGGCTGGGCACAGTGGCTCATGCCTATAATCCCAGCACTTTGGGAGGCCAAGGTGGATGGATCACCTGAGGTCAGGAGTTCAAGACCAGTCTGACCAACACGGCAAAACCCTGTCTCTACTAAAAAATACAAAAATGAGTGAGCATGGTGGCGGGCACCTGTAATCCCAGCTAGTCGGGAGCCTGAGGCAGGGAGAATTGCTTGAACCCGGGAGGTGGAAGTTGCAGTGAGCTGAGATCACACCACAGCACTCCAGCCTGGGCGACACAGCAAGACTCTATCTCGGAAAAAAAAAAAAAAATCCAAAGCCCTTCTAATTAATTACAAGGTCCTCCATGAGCTGGCCTACCATTATTTCTCTGGGTCATTTCCTAGCACTGTCTCCCTAGCTCACTAGGCTATAGCTAAACCAGCCGCCTTGCTGTTCCTAGGACACACTGAGCATGCTTTCACTTATGGGGCTTTGCAATGGCTGTCCCCTCTACCTGGAACATTGCTTTCCAGATATGCTCTTGGTGAGCTACCTCAACTCTTTTCAAGGCTACCTTCCAATGGGCTTCGTTGTGACTCTTCTATTTACATTAGTTAACTCCACCCACATTCTCCTCTCGATTCCCTAACTCCCTCACCTGCTCCATTTTTATTTCTGTAGCAATTATCGCCTTTTAAAATACTGCATAATTATAATTAAGCTTAATATTTCTTGTCTGTCTCCTCTACTAGAAGTTCCGTGAGGGTAAATGCTTGTCTGTTTTGTTCATCTGTGTTTCATGAGTACCTAAAACAGTACCTGGCACATAGTAGACACTCAATAGCTATTTGCTGAATGAAGGAGTAAATGAATAATAGAGCAATAATTAATTGTCATATGCCAGGTCTTATTCTAAGTATGTTTTATATCTTGTTTCATTTAAACCTCACCACAGTCTGTGAGGTAGGTATTAATTATTCTTAATACAAAGATAAAGAAAATAGGCTTAGAGAGGTTAAAGGTAGAACTGAGATTTGAACCTAGGCAGTCTAATCCCAAAGCCTTTCAGTTTTTAAATTCAACCACCCTGTGAAGTTAGGAAAATAGGTAAGTGGTTATGATTATTCTCATTTTCTAGATGACAGAACTGAGACTTAGAGATTTTAAGTAACTTTCTCAAGGTGAATGGGAACCTTACTTAGTGAATGGGAAACCTTAGGTTGTCCTGATGCCCTAAGTTCCTGGGTTTGTTATAACCTGGCCTGGTGTCTCTCCTTGCCCTTTTCAGGGACTCCTTCCCTTCAGTGCTATTTTTCTATGTCTTCTCTTCCATGTCTAAGGCATTCCACAGTCTTCATTACCCACAGAATTCCCTGTAGTAGTCTACCATAACATAGTTCTCTTTGGTTGTACCTCTTATTAGATCTCTTACTGCTATACCTGACAAAAGGAAGAAAAACTATCAACCTTCTCAAGAAAAATACACATACACATAACATCTAGACTACAATAGACTCTAGCTAAAACTGATTCATTCTTGACTTCAATCCTCTTGCAATAAATAGATACCTTTCCACCATCCCATTTTCTAGGGTCTCACTAATTAATTGGTTAGTTATTATTAAATGTGTCAGTGAAGGTTTATAGATTCATTTATTCATTTGTGCATTCATTCATTCATTCATTCCATAGGCATTTTTGAGCAACTATTGTGTATAAGGCAGAATACTAAATTCTGTGGGGAATCAAAAATGACCTTTATAGTACTATGCCCTCAAGACATTTCCAATCAGAGCCAATGAGATTCAGTTTGGGTATTTTTGTCTGAGTTTTCACTTTCCGCTAGATTCAATGTTGAAAGGCCCATGAGACTGCAGTTGCTACAGCCACTGTGTTGCCATGACAGGAGATCCTGTCTAGATTGGAGCCCACCCAGAAAAACTAGCTCAAAGAGGTAGAAAGAGAAAGAGAGAGAGAAACTGGCTCCTGAGGACACAGTTTTAATCCCTGCATCAAGCTGTGCCTGAAGCTAACCCCACAGTAGTCTCTTTCTGTAACAAAGTCCAAAAAAGGATTTTCTTTTCACTTAAGTCAGTTTGAGTTGTATTTTCTGTTATAAGCTTTTAGAATAGTCCTAATACATATAGGCCTTTCTAGTTATATTTTTAACATCCTGATATCTTTCCAGAGATAGCTTCACACATAAGGAACCACCTTAGCATCCTTCACTCAATGCTGAAAGTGAGCATCTGGTCTGCCTTTGGGCCAATGCTAAATCTCTTCAACAGCATCCTTTACCAAAGCAACATTGTCCCAGAATCTGCTGAAGCAGCAAGAAAAGAGGTCAGCAGTAGGACCAAGCTGCATATCTTCTTAGGCAGGAGTGCATCACTATTGAGGCCAAATGGACACTCACTAGCAAGGTGGCTGGAAACAACTGTTCTAGAAAGAACCCAAGGAAAAATTTCCAGGAGGAACCCAAACAGAAAAATCTATGTGGGTTGTATTCTGTAGTGCAAGTACTAAGGGAAGCGGGTGGTCTCAGAGGGTTAGCCAGTGAGAACATTGCCAGAAATGGTAAGATGCAGAGGCTCCTGAAAGAGCCAGCATTTAGACATCTGTCATAACAAAGGACATTCAATAGCTAAGAGATCACTTTAAATAGCACCAAATATTTTTAAAGTTCCTTTCTTTTAATCCATCTTCCACCTTCCCTGATTAAAAAGTCATGAAGATGAGGGGCAGGAGGGGAGGTAAAACAAAGAAAATGAAAAAATAGACTGTTTCTTCCTTTATCCTTCCAAACTATGAGTCAGGCCCAAGCTGAGGGAAAGAGAGAAGATTCAGTTGAATGAGAAATGGAAGTTTTGATTTGAACTGGACTTTTGACATACCTGAATATCTAATTGTTCTAATGTCTCAACAGGACTGGGAAGCTAAGGGATTTGCCAAGGCATGGGGAAAAGAGGATCTTTATGTTTGAAGAATGATAGAAAAAATAAAGCTGTTCATTATTACATTCTACCATGTTTAGCCAATTAAACAGGTTTTACTGGAGGTGGTTCTGTGGTAATTATTCCATAGGCTTATCTTGAGTTAGATCAAGCTTGTCCAAACTGCAGCCCACAGGTTGCATGTGGCCCAGAACAGCTTTGAATATGGCCTAACACAAATTTGTAAACTTTCTTAAAACATTATGAGAATTTTTTTTGCAATTTTTTTTAGCTCATCAGCTGTCATTAGCGTTAGTGTATTTTATGTGTGGCCCAAGACAATTCTTCTTCCAATGTGGCCCAGAGAAGCCAAAAGATTAAATATCCCAAGTTAGACCATAAGAAACAGCACAATGCAAATTACCCTCATATTTACTATCATAATGGTTTCTCTAGGAGAATTCATGAGGAAATATCTCTATGAGCTTAGTATCAGGGGTAGTTCTGCTTCTCTGGACCAAGTGTTGTGCTTTTATTCAGTTAGTATACCAAATGGAATGGGGGTGTGAGTGAGAAAGATCCATTCTATGGAAGGTACTTTTTAATTTATTATTTATTTTTTTCGAGACAGGGCCTTGCTCTGTCACCCAAGCTGGGTGCAATGGCATGAACATGGCTCACTGTAGCCCTGACCTCCTGGGCTCAAGCAATCCTCCTGCCTCAGCCTTCCAAGTAGCTGTGACCACAGGTGCACACCACCACAGCTGGCTAAATTAAAAAAAAAATTGTCAAGATAGAGTCTCACTATGTTGTCTAGGCTGGTCTTGAACTCCTAGACTCAAGTAATCCTCTCACCTTGGCCTCCCAAAGTGCTGGGATTACAGGAGTGAGCCACCACACATGGCCTACGGGACATATTTTGTCCCTGACAATGTTTACAATTGCTGATACATGTTGGTAATATGAAGTAGATGAACTCTTACTCTGTTTTATTGCAGTTTATACATTTTCTACAGAAAATGCACCCCATCCTTGCTTATAGCCCACCCACGTGGACTGCTCATTCTGTGAATCATGTTTTACAGGTGCGTTTTGGCTACTGAAAGCTTGGAGTCAAACCTGTATGCCTCTTCCTTTGTCTGCCAATATATTTTGTATATTAGGCCTCGGCCCTGGCTCCAATTTAGATTACCATTTTTTCCCCTACTTTGTCCCTCTCTTTGACCTTTTAACTTACTTCTATTCTTTGTGTGCAGAACTTTGTAAGCCCTGTTAGATCCTTGCTGCAGCAATGTACATAAGCAATGTAATAAACAGAAAGGATGAGATATTCAATGCCCATATCAAATCATCCTGTGTGTGTAGAATCACAAGTGCATTTCATTCTAGACACAAGACATAATTTTGCACATTTCAAAATGCAGTAAACGATTCCTAGAATGCTATTTTAGAAGCTTTCCTTAGGAAACAGCACCACGTGGCATAACTCACCTACCCCAGTAGTGTGATCTCCCTTTGGTCCTGTGTAGGAAGTGGGAGTTTCTCCCCTCCTCCTGTGCCAGCTGCTCCGGTTTCTTTTCTCCTGAGTAAATGTACATTCATCTTGCTCGAAAGTACACTCTCCAGGTGGAGGTGGAAGTTTCTCTGCAAGAAAATAGCAGATGTTGCAATCACTGAGACTCTTTCAATGACTCTGTGTTGCTAGCAGCCCACTCTGCATGTATGAATGTTGTCTGGCCATATGCCATGCGATGGAGAGGCAGCCCCCACTGGTGGCCCACCTACACGGAGCCACTGCTTCCAGCTAGAGGCTGCATTCCACTGCGGGTCCTGCCACAGACATAGAGAACAATCAGATATACAGATCTAAAATACTGGGCTACTTTGAGAAAAAAACTTTCTCTGACTTGTGAATTTTTGTGAATTTCTTTTTATAAAGCTCTGGAAATTATAGGTATATTGCCTTTATGAAAATATGGAAAATAATAAAATTTCATAATGCAGGCACTTTCTTCAGAAATCCTGGATGAGTGAAGGGTATCCTCATAACAACTCCACAGTTGCTTTGTAGGTAGGGGAGAATGTGAGAGTGCTAAATGGACTCCTGGAGGCATAGCTGTGTGGAACAAATGACTTCACTTCTCTGTGCCTTAGAGTTCTTATCTCTAATGTGGGAATATTGATGGTAGTCACTTCATGGGTCTGTGAGGATTAAATGAGATGGTATATGTAAAGTGATCATTTTTAATGTGAAGTTCTCAATAATTAAATTTTAGAACTTATTTTGCCACCCAGAGGTTTATTTTCCTTTTCCCAAATCCAATGTTTATGTCTTTGAATGCTATCTTCAATAACATTCATAATTATTAGAATGGTGCTTCTTCCCAATTTATTGGGGACTTTTCCTTTGACTAAACTTGGTTGTACCTCCCTATATCCAGATTCTTAGCCAAATTTTTCTAATAAATAGCTTGTTTCATATGTCTCTTTTGTGATCACTGTTTTACTTCATTTTATTTTACACACAGTACTGGTTAATGAAACCTCATTCTTTCTTCTATGCCTTGAGTGGAACGATTTTTATCTGGGTTGTCCTTGCAGTGCCTGGCAAATTAAGAGACTAAGAACAAATTGTCTTTTAATTAAATAAACATGGAGATTATTCTCCAGCACCAGACTGATACCACGATTTGCCTGTGTGTCAAAGAAATGGATGTCCTATGATGTAGGATGCAATGGTAATTAGCAGATACAGATCAATGATTGGGATTGAGTTATGCACCATTTTCTCATTAGGCGTAATGTATGACACATAGCTAGCTACCATGACTTTATTTTGCTACTATCATCATTGCTTGGTCTATTGTTCCACTGTCATTTAATTCACTTAGAAAATGTTTATTAAAATTTTTAAATTACATGCTTAGCAAGTATCTGTGAAATAAAAATTTCATTAATATTGCTTGAAAATCTGCATTCATGTAAGATAACAAAAACAACAGTAATAGTAATAATTATAGTAGAAGATATTTGTTTTTAAAGCACTGTTTTGTGGAAAATGTATGTATTATCCCCAATATTCAGGTAGATACCACTAGTTCCCTTCCAAATGAGGATAAAGGGGTTAAGTCACATGTACAAAGACACATATTACACTGGAATCATCATTTCTAAATTTCAAAGCCTGCTACACAGCTCTGCAGGAGACACTTTGTCAACAAAAGCAAAGGATGGACTAGCACAGATGAAATGTATGTGATTCTCAGCGATACAGGAAATGTATGTATAGGTCAGAGAGACAGAGCTAAAATGATTGCCGTCTTACCTGAAGATGAGCAGCTTCCCAATTGTATTGTAATGTCATCCAGGGCTACAAGCCCACAGTCCCAGAAACTTTTGCATAGGCTCATGAAAACCACCTGAAATTCGTAAAAATAAAGCTATGAATTCTGTTAACTGAAAACTGGAAACTCCTAACAACCTGGGATTCACTTAGCACAGCAGGCGAGCATAGGCAAACTACAAGCAGCTCTTCAGCGTCCGTATGAACAACAGAACACAGTAGGAAGAAGAATGGTTACCATCTGCATAAAACCCTGGAATTACTTTTATTATTATTGTTAATTTTTGAGATGGAGTCTCGCTCTGTCGCCAAGGCTGGAGTGTAGTGGTACGATCTTGGCTCACTGCAACCTCTGCCTACTGGGTTCAAGTGATTCTCCTGCCTCAGCCTCCTGAGTAGCTGGGATTACGGACACCCGTCACCATGCCCAGATAATTTTTGTATTTTTAGTAGAGACGGGGTTTCACCATGTTGGCCAGGCTGGTCTCAAACTCCTGACCTCAGGTGATCTGCCTGCCTTGGCCTCCCAAAGTGCTGGGATTACAGTTGTGAGCCACCACACCTGGCCTAGAATTACTTAATATATTTGAGCAGAATATAACGATATATTGTGCATACTAATGCTGAAATTAGTGGCATTTCGTAAAGAATTGACAGGAAGAGTGAGGAAAGCAAGAAGTTAACTGCGTGACAGAGAAATGCCTGTCAGGTTTTAAACATTTTCCCCAGATAATCCACAAAGTACATATAGACTTGATGGTTTTCTGAGCATTTTTCAAACATTTCCAGTACAAACACTATTGATTTTTTGGAAATGACTTTCTGGCAACATGCTTCATTCACATTGTGAACAAAGTCCTGGTGATTTGCCATCTGGAGGCTTATGTTCCATTTCCAAAGACAAAGATCTGTGTTCCCAGTTGGTGTCACTAATAAAAGTCCTAAATGCAGTTATTTTATCAGTCCAAACATTTTTATTGTTGTCTGTGAAGGAAAAACAAATCCATACCATAAATTATTAAATCTACTGTTCCAGAGAAAGACAGAAAAGTCTTGGATTTCTTTCCATCAGGCAAATTTTAAAGGCTACTTTTCATATATAGGATGAGCTAAGAGACCTTTTAAAAACATTTGTATTAGATTTTCACTGTACTTGCAGATTACAAAGCTGCTTTGAATGTATCACAATGTTTACGTAGCACAAGCTCATTTAGTCCATGTTCATTGAATCCCTCAATTACAAATCTAATTCAAACAGACAAAGGATGATATAACAGAAGTTGAAACCCAACTTACAAATAATGAGAACACTTGATTTTTTTAGGCTCTAGTTTAAAATGTTATGTTTTAAATTTATTGTTTTATCAGTAGGGTTCTTTTGCTTTTTGATGATCAGAGTCATTAGAATATAGAATTTATTTAAAAAGAAATGTAAAGATCATGTGACAGCTTACCAGTATGCAAAATATAAAATGTCTTAATCCAAGACCTTCTGGATAATTACTAATTGTAAGATGTGTGAAGGTTTACTTGCACTGTATTCATATTGCTTTCAATTATAAAAAGGATAGTTTGGACTTGTCACAATGTATAACTCTGTATATATATAAAGAACAAAACAAAACAGGGTGGATTTTTTTTTCTCGTTTACTTCTGTTAATTTTCTCATGTTTATAGATTCTAGAGATGATCTGAACATGTAAAATATTTTACTTGCAGAGTTTACTACTGGGAACTTATTCCCTGTTTGTAAAGCAAAGGTCTGTGTCATCAGCCCTGAATGCGGTTATATTTTAGCAGTAACTTTTTTTGTTATATGGGAAGGAATATTAATCCATCTCATAATTTACTGAATTAATTGTGGTGCAGACAGAAGAGTCTTGGCTTTATTTTATGGGGTGTGGGGGGTAGCTTTAAAGTCTATTTTTCACAAGTATACTAAAAAAGTACCTTTTCAAAATGAATATGTGGTAGTGAAATGGTTCACCATCTAAATCATTACCTACATAAAACTCAAACATTTGGCATGGTAATAAATTCCAAAGAAGAGAAATATTAACATGCTTTCATATGTTTACTATAGCATTGTTTTATAGTGACCATAAAACCATACAAGCAAGTAAGCAAGCAAACACCCAGAATTTTAAAAATAGAAGAAATAAATGAACTACGGCACAATTATCTAAGAAACTGGCCATTGTCAGATTTGATAACTTGGGCATATTATTTCGTAGTACAGAAATATATTCCTCTCATAATGTTAAGTGAAAAAACTAAATAAAATAAGACAAAATAATATCTAGTTCATCTAAAAATAATAGAAAAAGACTGGAAAGTTTACCAAATTTACAACAATTATGTTAGACTCATAAAATTATGGGCATTAAACAGAATTTCCCCCTTCTTTCTATATTTATATGTGTGTGTGTGTATATATATGTGTGTATATATATGTGTATGTATATATATGTGTGTGTGTGTGTGTGTGTGTGTGTGTGTGTGTGTGTGTGTGTATATATATATTTCTGTTTTGTTTTTTTTTTGAGATGGGAGTTTTGCTCTTGTCGCCCAGGCTAGAGTGCAATGATGCAATCTCAGCTCACTGCATTCTCCACCTCCTGGATTCAAGCAATTCTCCTGCCTCAGCCTCCCGAGTAACTGGGATTACAGGCATGTGCCACCACGCCTGGCTAATTTTTGTATTTTTAGCAGAGATGCAGTTTCGCCATGTTGGCCAGGCTGGTCTCGAACACCTGACCTCAGGTGATATCCACCCGCTTGGCCTCCCAAAGTGTTAGGATTACAGGCATGAGCCACCTCACCCAGCCTTTATATTTATATTTGACACAAGAAAAAGGAATCAGGATATTTACAATTAAGATGTGGAATAATCAGTCATTATTATTTCCTAGATGATCTTGTCTATTATGATAGCCACTAGGTACATGTGTCTATTAAAATTAAATTAAAAATTCATGTATTCAGTCACACGAGCCACATTCAAAGATGCTCAGTGGCCACATGCAGCTCATGGTTAACTGAATTGGACACAGCAGGTATGCAGCATTTCCTCATTACAGAAAGTTCTATTGGATAGACTTCCCTGGCTCCTTTTGGATATTCCAAATACTTCGTGAATTGCCACAGTGGGTTGAATGAAATGTTAAGCATGTTTTGGACAATAGCAGACGTCTAGGTTGTTCTACCTTAGCGCTTTTTCCACACTTAAAACATTAGCCAGACCATGTGTTGTTCTGTCTGATAAAAGATCCCTAAGGTTAGTCAGCTACTGACTAGGTTCAAATGACGGCCTTAATCCCCAAATTTGCTTGGCAGTTGTCTGTCAGTATTTTAACACACAAAAGAAGCACAACCAGATCAGCCTGTTTGATCTAACACACTGGATTTTCTGCCTGGCTATTAGTAATGCTGATCATGTCAGCGCTTATTTTGGGGCTGCCATTTTACATTTTGTATGATCCTTGAGGTGGAGAGGTTATTTTAGGGTAGTTGGTGACTGGGCAAGCGGATGAGTGGGCCTGGTTGAGGCAGGACAAAGAATAAGTCAAACATCTTGTCCTGTTCTTAAGGACTTACCCTCTGGGTCCAGTTAAGAACATAACAAGAAGGGAATTAGTCATAGTCTAAATTCTTGAGGGGATTAACCTCTTATTTATAGATCTTTCTTAAAAGCAGTGTTTATTTCATTGTAGGCAGTATTTCGAAGCAAGTGGAACATCTCTAAGACTAGAAAAAATCTTAGCTTAAATGTATATTAGTATCTATTTAAGAGGGTACCATACCCTCTTAAATATTAAATATTATATTAAATATTAAATTAAATATTAATTATATTAATTATAGGCTCACATCTATAATCCCAGCACTTTGGGAGGCTGAGACAGTAGGATCACTTGAGGCCAGGAGTTGAAGATCAACCTGGGCAGCATAGAGAGGTTCCATCTCTACAAAAGAATTTTAAAAATTAGCTGTGTGCGCTTGTAGTCCAGGTACTTGAAAGGCTGAGGCGGGAAGCTCTCTTGAACCCAGGAGTTGGAGGCTGCAGTGAGCCATGATCACGCCACTGTACTCCAGCCTAGATGACAGAGTGAGACCCTGTCTCTCAAAAACAATTAATTAAAAAAAAGAAGGGGAAAGAAGATGAGGGGCCAAGTAAAGTGATATCCCTTAGAAAGGTATTCCTGATTTTATGCAAATCTCTTAAAAGTTAGGGACAAATTAAATTTATGTAAATCAATGTCTCCATGTACTCAAGATCCCAGTCCTTAGGTTCTGATAATACTTTAAAATGTTTGTCCTGATGGAGAATATTCATAGCCGAGGAAATCTGCCTAGACTGGAAACACAAACAGGCAATGAAAGGAGAGCTGTAAAAACATATTTGCAAAGAAATAATTTTAAATACAGTCAAGGAGGGATCAACAATATTACTTAACTTACTCTCTACTATACTAAAAATACATAGTATACATGCTTTTTAAAATCCACAACAGAGTATTGCTACCTCAGCACTACTGACGTTTTGGGCCAGATAATTCTTTGTTATGGAGGACTGCCCTGTGCATTGTAGGATGTTTAGCAGCAACTGTAACCTCTACTCATTAGATGCCAGCATCACTGCCAAGTCGTGACAATCAAAAACTTCTTCAGACATTGCCAAATGTCCACTGGGGGAAAATCTCCCTGAGAACCACTGGTAAAGAGTAGTAGAAAACTGCTGTGTGGATTATAAAACCTCACTTAACTAAATTCCTGTTATGTGCAGTCCTTGTGCTAGGCACTTTCGGAGTTGGATTTTTTTTTTTTTTTTTTTTTTTTTGAGACAGAGTCTCACTCTGTGCCCAGGCTGGAGTACAGTGGTGTGATCTTGGCTCACTGCAACCTCAGCCTCCTGGGCTCAAGTGATCCCCCTGCTTCAGCCTCCCAAATAGTTGGAACTACAGGCGTGCACTACCACACCCGGCTAATTTTTGTATTTTTTGTAGAGACAGGGTTTCACCTTGTTGCCCAGGCTGGTCTCGAACTCCTGGACTCAAGTGATCTGCCTGCCTCAGCCTCCCAGAGTGCTGAGATTACAGGATAAGTCACTGTGACCAGATCTGTTACCTGATTTTTGGATTCACAGTCGATTTCAACCTATTTATTCTCTCCACTCAGAACAAGACTGTTCTAAAAATGGACTAGATTTAGTTTTCTCTTCCTCTACACATCACCAGGTGATTGTTCTAACAAGCGATGAAATATGGGCCAGGCACAGTGGCTCACGCCTATAATCCCAGCACTTTGGGAGGCCAAGGCAGGCGCATCACTTGAGTCAGGAGTTCAAAACCAGCCTGGCCAACATTGCGAAACCTTGTCTCTACATAAATACAAAAATTAGCTGGGCATGGTGGCTCACGCCTGTAGTCCCAGCTAATCAGGAGGCTGAGGCAGGAGAGTCACTTGAACCCAGGAGGCAAAGGTTGCAGTGAGGCAAGATGGTGCCACTTCACTCCAGCCTTCGTGACAGAGCAAGACTCTGTCTAAAAAAAAAAAAAAAAAAGAAAGAAAGAAATATCCAGAAGCCCTGAAGCCCTGGAAACAAAAGGTAAAGGAGCAGAAATGCAAGGCAGATGGACTAATACCCAAACTGAATAATCATCCCCTGGATTATCAAGGATTTATTGTTCCAATTTCCTGCTTTAGAAAACTGTAATTATTAAAGGACAATAGAATCTCCTCTTTATTTTCATCTTTTTCCCTTTCAAAAAAACAATGATCTGCTCTCTAGAAACAACATAATGACAGGCAGCAGAACCTAAAAGGTCACTGAGCAAATGCTCCTCATAGTATATAATTTTAAGTCTCTTCTAAAGTTTTTTTTTTTTTTTTGAGGGGGGTGGTTGATTAGGAGGAGGTCTGTGTGGAAACCCACCTACAAGGTTGTGTTAGTCCAAGGGGTCAGACTGCCCCTAGGCCTGTCAAAGTTCATAAAAGTTCCTGGTTAAAGTACCCACGAGTCCAGGTGCCATGGCTCATGCCTGTTCCCAACACTTTGGGAGGCCAAGGCAGGCAGATTGCAGCCAGTTCGAGACCAGCCTGAGCAACATGGCAAAACCCCCTCTCTACTAAAAGTATAAAAAATTAGCTGGGCACGGTGGTGTACACCTGTAGTTCCAGTTACTCAGGAGGTTGAGGTGGAAGGATCACCTCGGCCCGGGAGGTTGAGGCTGCAGTGAACTGTGATCACATCACTGCACTCCAGCCTGGGTGACAGAGTGAGATCCTGTCTTAAAAAAACAAAACAGGGGGGAGGAGCCAAGATGGCCGAATAGGAACAGCTCCGGTCTACAGCTCCCAGCGTGAGCGACGCAGAAGACGGTGATTTCTGCATTTCCATCTGAGGTACCGGGTTCATCTCTCTAGGGAGTGCCAGACAGTGGGCGCAGGCCAGTGTGTGTGCGCACCGTGCGCGAGCCGAAGCAGGGCGAGGCATTGCCTCGCCTGGGAAGCGCAAGGGGTCAGGGAGTTCCCTTTCCGAGTCAAAGAAAGGGGTGACGGTCGCACCTGGAAAATCGGGTCACTCCCACCCGAATATTGCGCTTTTCAGACCGGCTTAAGAAACGGCGCACCACGAGACTATATCCCACACCTGGCTCGGAGGGTCCTACGCCCACGGAATCTCGCTGATTGCTAGCACAGCAGTCTGAGATCAAACTGCAAGGCGGCAACGAGGCTGGGGGAGGGGCGCCCGCCATTGCCCAGGCTTGCTTAGGTAAACAAAGCAGCCGGGAAGCTCGAACTGGGTGGAGCCCACCACAGCTCAAGGAGGCCTGCCTGCCTCTGTAGGCTCCACCTCTGGGGGCAGGGCACAGACAAACAAAAAGACAGCAGTAACCTCTGCAGACTTAAGTGTCCCTGTCTGACAGCTTTGAAGAGAGCAGTGGTTCTCCCAGCACGCAGCTGGAGATCTGAGAACGGGCAGACAGACTGCCTCCTCAAGTGGGTCCCTGACTCCTGACCCCCGAGCAGCCTAACTGGGAGGCACCCCCCAGCAGAGGCACACTGACACCTCACACGGCAGGGTATTCCAACAGACCTGCAGCTGAGGGTCCTGTCTGTTAGAAGGAAAACTAACAACCAGAAAGGACATCTACACCGAAAACCCATCTGTACATCACCATCATCAAAGACCAAAAGTAGATAAAACCACAAAGATGGGGAAAAAACAGAACAGAAAAACTGGAAACTCTAAAACGCAGAGCGCCTCTCCTCCTCCAAAGGAACGCAGTTCCTCACCAGCAACAGAACAAAGCTGGATGGAGAATGATTTTGACGAGCTGAGAGAAGAAGGCTTCAGACGATCAAATTACTCTGAGCTACGGGAGGACATTCAAACCAAAGGCAAAGAAGTTGAAAACTTTGAAAAAAATTTAGAAGAATGTATAACTAGAATAACCAATACAGAGAAGTGCTTAAAGGAGCTGATGGAGCTGAAAACCAAGGCTCGAGAACTACGTGAAGAATGCAGAAGCCTCAGGAGCCGATGCGATCAACTGGAAGAAAGGGTATCAGCAATGGAAGATGAAATGAATGAAATGAAGCGAGAAGGGAAGTTTAGAGAAAAAAGAATAAAAAGAAATGAGCAAAGCCTCCAAGAAATATGGGACTATGTGAAAAGACCAAATCTACGTCTGATTGGTGTACCTGAAAGTGATGTGGAGAATGGAACCAAGTTGGAAAACACTCTGCAGGATATTATCCAGGAGAACTTCCCCAATCTAGCAAGGCAGGCCAACGTTCAGATTCAGGAAATACAGAGAACGCCACAAAGATACTCCTCGAGAAGAGCAACTCCAAGACACATAATTGTCAGTCAGATTCACCAAAGTTGAAATGAAGGAAAAAATGTTAAGGGCAGCCAGAGAGAAAGGTCGGGTTACCCTCAAAGGAAAGCCCATCAGACTAACAGCGGATCTCTCGGCAGAAACTCTACAAGCCAGAAGAGAGTGGGGGCCAATATTCAACATTCTTAAAGAAAAGAATTTTCAACCCAGAATTTCATATCCAGCCAAACTAAGCTTCACAAGTGAAGGAGAAATAAAATACTTTATAGACAAGCAAATGTTGAGAGATTTTGTCACCACCAGGCCTGCCCTAAAAGAGCTCCTGAAGGAAGCACTAAACATGGAAAGGAACAACCGGTACCAGCCGCTGCAAAATCATGCCAAAATGTAAAGACCATCGAGACTAGGAAGAAACTGCATCAACTAATGAGCAAAATCACCAGCTAACATCATAATGACAGGATCAAATTCACACATAACAATATTAACTTTAAATATAAATGGACTAAATTCTGCAATTAAAAGACACAGACTGGCAAGTTGGATAAAGAGTCAAGACCCATCAGTGTGCTGTATTCAGGAAACCCATCTCACGTGCAGAGACACACATAGGCTCAAAATAAAAGGATGGAGGAAGATCTACCAAGCCAATGGAAAACAAAAAAAGGCAGGGGTTGCAATCCTAGTCTCTGATAAAACAGACTTTAAACCAACAAAGATCAAAAGAGACAAAGAAGGCCATTACATAATGGTAAAGGGATCAATTCAACAAGAGGAGCTAACTATCCTAAATATTTATGCACCCAATACAGGAGCACCCAGATTCATAAAGCAAGTCCTCAGTGACCTACAAAGAGACTTAGACTCCCACACATTAATAATGGGAGACTTTAACACCCCACTGTCAACATTAGACAGATCAACGAGACAGAAAGTCAACAAGGATACCCAGGAATTGAACTCAGCTCTGCACCAAGCAGACCTAATAGACATCTACAGAACTCTCCACCCCAAATCAACAGAATATACATTTTTTTCAGCACCACACCACACCTATTCCAAAATTGACCACATAGTTGGAAGTAAAGCTCTCCTCAGCAAATGTAAAAGAACAGAAATTATAACAAACTATCTCTCAGACCACAGTGCAATCAAACTAGAACTCAGGATTAAGAATCTCACTCAAAGCCGCTCAACTACATGGAAACTGAACAACCTGCTCCTGAATGACTACTGGGTACATAACGAAATGAAGGCAGAAATAAAGATGTTCTTTGAAACCAACGAGAACAAAGACACCACATACCAGAATCTCTGGGACGCATTCAAAGCAGTGTGTAGAGGGAAATTTATAGCACTAAATGCCTACAAGAGAAAGCAGGAAAGATCCAAAATTGACACCCTAACATCACAATTAAAAGAACTAGAAAAGCAAGAGCAAACACATTCAAAAGCTAGCAGAAGGCAAGAAATAACTAAAATCAGAGCAGAACTGAAGGAAATAGAGACACAAAAAACCCTTCAAAAAATCAATGAATCCAGGAGCTGGTTTTTTGAAAGGATCAACAAAATTGATAGACCGCTAGCAAGACTAATAAAGAAAAAAAGAGAGAAGAATCAAATAGACACAATAAAAAATGATAAAGGGGATATCACCACCGATCCCACAGAAATACAAACTACCATCAGAGAATACTACAAACACTTCTACGCAAATAAACTAGAAAATCTAGAAGAAATGGATACATTCCTCGACACATACACTCTCCCAAGACTAAACCAGGAAGAAGTTGAATCTCTGAATAGACCAATAACAGGCTCTGAAATTGTGGCAATAATCAATAGTTTACCAGCCAAAAAGAGTCCAGGACCAGATGGATTCACAGCCGAATTCTACCAGAGGTACATGGAGGAACTGGTACCATTCCTTCTGAAACTATTCCAATCAATAGAAAAAGAGGGAATCCTCCCTAACTCATTTTATGAGGCCAGCATCATTCTGATACCAAAGCCGGGCAGAGACACAACCAAAAAAGAGAATTTTAGACCAATATCCTTGATGAACATTGATGCAAAAATCCTCAATAAAATACTGGCAAACCGAATCCAGCAGCACATCAAAAAGCTTATCCACCATGATCAAGTGGGCTTCATCCCTGGGATGCAAGGCTGGTTCAATATACGCAAATCAATAAATGTAATCCAGCATATAAACAGAGCCAAAGACAAAAACCACATGATTATCTCAATAGATGCAGAAAAAGCCTTTGACAAGATTCAACAACCCTTCATGCTAAAAACTCTCAATAAATTAGGTATTGATGGGACGTATTTCAAAATAATAAGAGCTATCTATGACAAACCCACAGCCAATATCATACTGAATGGGCAAAAACTGGAAGCATTCCCTTTGAAAACCGGCGCAAGACAGGGATGCCCTCTCTCACCGCTCCTATTCAACATAGTGTTGGAAGTTCTGGCCAGGGCAATCAGGCAGGAGAAGGAAATAAAGGGTATTCAATTAGGAAAAGAGGAAGTCAAATTGTCCCTGTTTGCAGACAACATGATTGTATATCTAGAAAACCCCATTGTCTCAGCCCAAAATCTCCTTAAGCTGATAAGCAACTTCAGCAAAGTCTCAGGATACAAAATCAATGTACAAAAATCACAAGCATTCTTATACACCAACAACAGACAAACAGAGAGCCAAATCATGGGTGAACTCCCATTCACAATTGCTTCAAAGAGAATAAAATACCTAGGAATCCAACTTACAAGGGATGTGAAGGACCTCTTCAAGGAGAACTACAAACCACTGCTCAAGGAAATAAAAGAGGAGACAAACAAATGGAAGAACATTCCATGCTCATGGGTAGGAAGAATCAATATCGTGAAAATGGCCATACTGCCCAAGGTAATTTACAGATTCAATGCCATCCCCATCAAGCTACCAATGACTTTCTTCACAGAATTGGAAAAAACTACTTTAAAGTTCATATGGAACCAAAAAAGAGCCCGCATTGCCAAGTCAATCCTAAGCCAAAAGAACAAAGCTGGAGGCATCACACTACCTGACTTCAAACTATACTGCAAGGCTACAGTAACCAAAACAGCATGGTACTGGTACCAAAACAGAGATATAGATCAATGGAACAGAACAGAGCCCTCAGAAATAATGCCGCATATCTACAACTATCTGATCTTTGACAAACCTGAGAAAAACAAGCAATGGGGAAAGGATTCCCTATTTAATAAATGGTGCTGGGAAAACTGGCTAGCCATATGTAGAAAGCTGAAACTGGATCCCTTCCTTACACCTTATACAAAAATCAATTCAAGATGGATTAAAGATTTAAACGTTAAACCTAAAACCATAAAAACCCTAGAAGAAAACCTAGGCATTACCATTCAGGACATAGGCGTGGGCAAGGACTTCATGTCCAAAACACCAAAAGCAATGGCAACAAAAGACAAAATTGACAAATGGGATCTAATTAAACTAAAGAGCTTCTGCACAGCAAAAGAAACTACCATCAGAGTGAACAGGCAACCTACAACATGGGAGAAAATTTTCGCAACCTACTCATCTGACAAAGGGCTAATATCCAGAATCTACAATGAACTCAAACAAATTTACAAGAAAAAAACAAACAACCCCATCAAAAAGTGGGCGAAGGACATGAACAGACACTTCTCAAAAGAAGACATTTATGCAGCCAAAAAACACATGAAGAAATGCTCATCATCACTGGCCATCAGAGAAATGCAAATCAAAACCACTATGAGATATCATCTCACACCAGTTAGAATGGCAATCATTAAAAAGTCAGGAAACAACAGGTGCTGGAGAGGATGCGGAGAAATAGGAACACTTTTACACTGTTGGTGGGACTGTAAACTAGTTCAACCATTGTGGAAGTCAGTGTGGCGATTCCTCAGGGATCTAGAACTAGAAATACCATTTGACCCAGCCATCCCATTACTGGGTATATACCCAAATGAGTATAAATCATGCTGCTATAAAGACACATGCACACGTATGTTTATTGCGGCACTATTCACAATAGCAAAGACTTGGAACCAACCCAAATGTCCAACAATGATAGACTGGATTAAGAAAATGTGGCACATATACACCATGGAATACTATGCAGCCATAAAAAATGATGAGTTCATATCCTTTGTAGGGACATGGATGAAATTGGAAACCATCATTCTCAGTAAACTATCGCAAGAACAAAAAACCAAACACCGCATATTCTCACTCATAGGTGGGAATTGAACAATGAGATCACATGGACACAGGAAGGGGAATATCACACTCTGGGGACTGTGGTGGGGTCGGGGGAGGGGGGAGGGATAGCATTGGGAGATATACCTAATGCTAGATGACACATTAGTGGGTGCAGCGCACCAGCATGGCACATGTATACATATGTAACTAACCTGCACAATGTGCACATGTACCCTAAAACTTAGAGTATAATAAAATAAAAAAAAAAAAAAAAAAAAAGAGCCATGACAAAAAAAAAACAAAACAAAAGTACCCAGGAAAGAAAAAGTAGAGAATCAGGTATGTCAGGAATTCATGTTCTCAAACCAAATCAAGATAGGTTTTAAAATAATCAGGGTTATTGCTTTTCACTTTATAGGATGTTATAGTTTAACAACTACCAAATATAATGAATAGAATTTTGCCAGGAAATGGAGGAAATAAATTTTGTTGGGTGCTGTGAAGTCAAATCAAATCAAATCTTTGTTATATAGTTCAAAAGGACTGTTTGTGTTAAAGAACTAAACACTGGCTGTATTAAATATTTTTTCACTGCCTTTTAGAGTAGATTCCATGACCTGCTTGATAGACATGGTAGACTAGGTTGTTGGGTTAATCCACCATCTACTTTACCAATTGAATGGCCCCATTTAGGCCTATAATTAGCATGTAAATGATAGCTTCCAGAAATTGCCTTCTATATTTGGATAGAAACATTTCAGTCCTGTGCCAACAATATCATAACTTACCCATTTTCACAAAATGAACCTAGTTAAGTTCTTATTATAAGTGGTAGACCTCAACAATTTCCCAGACGGTTTGATTTTGAGTTAAATTTAACTTTTCTTCTGATGAGGTTAAAATCTTTTGAAATCATTTGCACAGATAAATTTGGTTACGACAACTACAGAGTTGGTGGCATAATTATTCACAAAATTACTATAATCCAGTCAGTGAAATTCCAGAGCCCTTCATTAAGATGCTACTGACACATCTGTAAGATATACTATACGATGTAATTGCATTCATTTAACTGTTTGACAATAAGTTGTAATAGAGTTTTTAAAAAATTTCAATATTGAGATACTTGGCAAAATGGATGAAATTATTACAAATCCCTGAAGGCAGACTAAGTGAAGCTTTATCTAGAAAAGTAAGTGTGAGGCTTTAGCATTCTTAGAACCTAGCACTGTTTTGAGAAATAGCTGCAAAATTGCAAAAGCATGCCTGCTGCAGATACTATATTTGGTCTTCATCTCCCACAAAAGGCAGAATGACCATGTGTTTTTAAATAAGTTTTTAGCTGACCAATACTTTTTTTCTTAAAGGACCCATCTGGTTAGTTTTTTCTTTTTTAAAAGACCCATCTGATTTAATTCAACTTTTGGCTCTTACAAGCGACAGAGATCAAGCAGCTTCCAGCTTTTCTCAGTGTGAAAGTCTTTCTGCTCCCAGGAGCCTTCAGGTCTGGGCTAGGGACCACACTGTGATAGAATACAGGCCTGTAGCTGAACTTTTTCATTGCTATTTGGATGGTAAACATCCAAATCTCTCAACTCAAAGATTTCAGAAATCTGCTTTATTTTCTGATCTTTAGGCCACTGTAAGGGGAGGGGAGGTTCCAGAAGGGACCACAGAATCAGCTATTTTTTAGAATGAAGAACAGGTCCAGAGAGCCTGTGATAGCAGCTCACACAACAGCCAGTTGCAGACTCGGGTATGAAACATTACACCCCTTCCTGATCCCTGATAGAATGTATTTCATTATACAGCCCCCTCATTTTCCCTATTTTGCTTTAGGTATCTTAAAATACGATTCTGAGAGACATGATGCAACTCCCCAGTTAATAGCATGGGACCAAACATTTCTTTGACTTGTGTTTACAAGCTTCCTGTCATTTTGCCTTACGTTTGTTGATGGAGTATTTTGGTAACTCAGCACAGGAGCCTGACTCTTACATAGATTGTGGCTGATTTTCAGAACTGGCTAATGTCGAACCAGCCATAGTATCTCCTCCTTTCCACAGCAGCTCTTCCCTCACCTCAGCCACGTCCTTCTCACCCTTAGCCGAAGACATCACTGCCCTGCTCTGCGCTGAAAATGTAGGCCCCCCAGAAAGAATGCTCACAGCTTCTCCGACATCCACATCTACACCCTTATCTTCACTTGCACCCATTTTCACTTTTCCCCCTTGTTTTGAGAGCAAAGTGTGTCTGATTGCAAAGTTCATGTTCTTTTCATGGTGGGACAGAGAAGACTAATCCTACACAATTAATGTTGAAGATGCAAGTGGAAAATAAATGAGAAAAACCTCTGAAAAAAATGAACATTAGACAAAGCTGACATCATTTTTAATGTTTTAGTCTCTAATTCCCCACCCTAATAATGAAGACATTATTATATTTAATTACCCCATAAAGCTTTCATTATCACTGAAGGAAAATAGGTGCAAATGCCTTCCTGATTTTTACATGTACTCCTCAAGAGGGCAGGTGACCATCTGGTGACTTCTGTTTTTTGTTCTTTTTTTTTTCTGGAGACAGGGTCTCCCTCTGTTGCCCAGGCTAGAGTGCAGTAGCGCAATCACGGCTCACTGCAACCTCTCCCTCCTGGATTCGAGGGATTCTCGTGTCTCAGCCTCCTGAGTAGCTGGGATTACAAGCATGCGCCACCATGCCTTGCGAATTTTTTTACTTTTAGTAGAGACAGGGTCTTACCATGTTGGCCAGGCTGGTCTTGATCTCCTGGCCTCAAGTGATCTGTCTGCCTCACCCTCCCAAAGTGCTGGGATTACAGGTGTGAGTCACCGTGCCCAGCCAGTCTGGTGATTTCTAATAGGCCTCCGGGCTGCCTGTGATTTTGTGTAAAAAAAATCAGTGCTGGGCTAAAAATACAATGTGGTTTCTCTCTGGCCCACCTCCCATAGGGAGTTCTCCTGGTCAAACACTGCCCTGACAAATGTAATGTAATAAAATGTAAAGACCAATTTAATTGTCATGTCCAAGGACAGGCATTATAATTGGAGTCATTGTTGTGGCTCACTTGGAGTTACAAAAACGTCAGTCCTGCCAGAAGATAGATTTATAGAATGCAATCCACAAACAGCAAAAAGGAAGAATCTAGGTCCTCCTCTTGCCTCTCAAGGGCTCACTCTGCTCTAGATGAACCCCTCCTGGGCCTGAAGAAGACAGCAAGCACTTTTAGCAATCCTCTGCTAATAAGAATGCTGACTTTGCCCTACCCACCTCTGAGACATAGAGGCAATTAGCCTGATTTTCATTGATTCCCAAGCCAAAGTGTAGATCCATGAAGTGAAGAAGAGCTGCAGTTTAAAGCTTACGTAACTCTTACCCCTTTTTAACCTATGCCACACTTATTTAACCAACCCCTAATAATAGACAATATGGTAGTTTCCACTCTCTCAGTATTATAAATATTACTGGAATGAACGATTATAGCTAAATCTTTGTGCATAACCATGATTATTTCCTTATGATAAATCCCTAGATGTAGAATTGTTATGTAATAAAGTATGCATGTTTGAGCGCTTCCTTTTTTATTCATGTAATTAAATTGTTATTAAAACATTGTGCCAATTTACCCTCATATAAGAGCACATGATAATCCTTATTTCCTTGCATCCTCACCTTTCCAGGGTAATGTTATACGTGTGTGTGTGTGTGTGTGTGTGTGTGTGTGTGTGTGTATTATGCATGCACACATATATGTTTATATATATACATATACAGTCATACACTGCATAATGACATTCCAGTCAATGATGGACTGCATGTACAATGGTAGTTCCATAAGATTATACTACCATATTTTTACTGTACTTCTGTCTCTTTAGATATGTTTAGATACAAAAATACTTACCATTGTGTTGTAACTGTTGCCATTATTTAATACAATAACATGCTGTATAGGTTTAAAGCCCAGGATCTATAGGCTATACCATACAGTCTAGGTGTGTAGTAGGCTATACCATCTAGGTTTGTATAAATATTCTATGATATCCTCACAAGGACAAAATTGCCTAACAAACACATTTCTTGGAATGTATCCTTATCATTAAGTGATACATGACTGTATATACATATATAAGTACATTTGAATGTATTTATTCAATTATCAATTAAAAATTTTTTCACTTTAGAAAACATTAATATGTATACATATGTATAGTACATATATTGAAAAATAAATCTTTCACTTAGACCAGAAAACATTTATATGTATATATGTACATATTATATATATTTAAAAATAAATATTTCACTTTAGACCCAAATATGCATATATGTATATATATAAATGGGTATATATATTTATACTTGCATCTAAAGTGAAAGATTTATGTTTTAATTCATAAATTGAACAATACAAACAGTACAGTATAAATACAGCAATTAATACAAACATCATACTCCAGGGTATTATGTTTTTAAAATATTTTGATAGACAAATGTATTATTTCATTACTTTTAAGATTTCTTTGGCTGGGTGTGTTGGCTAACACTTGTAAAGCACTTTGGGAGGTCATACATGGGTGGATCGCTTGAGCCCAGGGGTTTGAGACAAGCTGGGTAATAGTGAGACCACATTTCTACAAAAAATGCAAAAATTAGCTGTACATGATGGTGCACACCTGTACTTCCAGCTACTTGGGAGGCTGAGGTGGGAGGATCACCTGACCTTGCAGAGGTCAAGGTTACAGTGAGCTATGATCACACCACTGGACTCCAGCCTGGGTGACAGAGTAAGACCCTGTCTAAAAACATAATGTCTTTGATTATAATGAGGTTGGGTATATTTGTGCATTTATTTTCTGGTTATATTTCTTTTTTTCTGATTTGCCTGTATATATCCTATCCGCTTTCCTATTGCTTAGTTTACCTTTGGCTTATTGATTTATTAGATTTATATATTTATTTTAAATGTATTAAGACTTTGTTGCATATGTTGCAACCTTTTTTTCCCCCTCTGACTTGACATTTGCCTTTCAGATTTGTTTATGTGGCATTCCTCGTTTGAATAAAGCAGAACCAAATGTCTTGGTTTGAAGATTGAGATGAAATGGGAGGGCCACAAATAGTAATTTATCTTTGAGCATCGTATAGATAAACATGTAACCTGATACTAAACAAAAGTAAATGCTCATGGACTGTCAGTGATGTGGTGGGATATGCCAGAGGGAAGTGATTTGTGGACTCACTGGAGAGAGACTTCTACTAGAAGTAAGTACTAAACAGATAGTGCAGAAAATATCCAGAGAAAGACATATAAGAGGAGGAGGGAAAGGTAGGCATATCTATGCAAAAGGAAATAAGGTATGTTTCCTCTGGTGAAATTAGAGAGTCTTTATTAATGTGTGAATTGTCAATTTCTAATTGCATGAGTTGAGCTTATAGCTCTAGAGGCCAGCAAATACTTATTTGGTCTATGAGCTCAGAAAACCAGAGGATCCCCAGAGAATCTCAATGCGAGCATCAAAAAATAATGTGGCATCACCTAGAATTTGGGAAAATATTTCTTTAAAATGCAATGACTGTACGGCTGTGAAATATTCACAAGATAGAAGTTTGGAAGTGGGGAAGGGAAGTGGTATTTTCAGGTTCATAAACAAACTTTGGAATAAATGTTTGCCTAATTAAGCTTATTAGTAAAACTATAGGGAAAGAATGCCTGGTCTGTCTTTTCGGATGTCTCCATATTGCTGGGAGAACAAATTGCTGATCCAACAATGTTCCATGAAATTACTCAGAAAACTCACGAAAGAATGGACTGACATAAACACTATGTTCGTGTAAAGTATGTGTCAGCAACTACCAGTTGTGCTAATCTATCTTCCCAGTAATTTTCTCATAAGTTGGCATGAAACACAGAAGGTCTCAACAAATAACTGAAAGGAAATGAAACAGAAGGAAAACAAGAGTATCTCAGCCTGCCTTACTCATATTTAAAGCAATGTAGAATTCATGAACTCACAAATGATGCTGAGTTTAGCTTGAAAAACTCAAGAGTAGGTTCCTTTTCCATACTTAGCTCCTTATTCTTTGACATGAAAACTTATTCCACTTGACAGTATAATTTTCCTTGTTCTGTGTACAAAGCCACCTTAATCTGCTCTATAATGTGTTGATTATCTTGTCAGTAATTAATGACCTTTCTATTTCTACTTTGCTCTCAGCTGCTCTGCTTTAATAATGCTGGGACATTAATATCCTGAAGCAGTTCTCTTCCAGTGTTCCCAGACATCATGAAATGTGATAGGAAATTCACCTCCTCTCATGTGTCTTGTCTACACATTGGTTTTCTGCTTCCTTAATCTCTTTATAGCAGGGTGTCTGGCTGTTAAATAGCCAACTATTTATAAATCTCTACAGAAACTTTCTAGACTTGCTCTTCTATTCGAGTGAACTTCTAGAGCTGCCTTTAAAATTTCAGAACCCTAGGTATTTTACATGTAATCATATTGTCATTCTGTAAGGGCATAGTTAAAAAGATTTTAAAAGTGGAAATTTGAATCAAAGACTTAAACTTCAACTTTTTTTTTCCTAAAAGGGAAAGATTTTTGTAAGAGAAAATGAAGGAGTAGAGAAAATTACCAACAAGAACCATGTTGCACAATGTTAAAACACAGTTTCTGCTATTAAGATGCCAAAAATATAACAGGAGGTAGAAGAGACCTAGAAGTCATTTTAAAACATGTCCTTGTTTCATAGAAAGGTGACATGACATTCTGATTTAGATAGTAAATGCTAGAGTCAGGGCAACTCTTTATATTCCTGAACTAGAGCTCCTTCATTACACAAATACCATTCCAACAAGTAAAACCCAAGTCAATGACTTATAAAAGATTCAAAGAGGAAGAGGCATTTGAGGTAGACATTGAGAGAAGCATAGGACTTTCCTGGGTATGTATAATGATTTCTGCAACAAGATCAATGAGATATACTTTGCTGTTGATAAACGCTGAGGGAGCATTGGAGGAGGAAGGCAGAGGGCAGAAGACAAGGATTTGAGGAATGAGAAGCCACACTGGAGTGAAGACAATAATTGAAGATACATCTTTCCAGAAGTTTGGAGGCTGAAGGAATGGGAGGGATTGGCAACTTAAATGGGTACTGAGATGAAAGGAAGGTTTATTGTTCATCGGTGTCGAATGCAGGAGACTAACATATATTGGCAGTATGCAAAGGACTAATGGAGATTGAAGATTTACGAGAGAGGGAATAATTTATGAAATAAGTTCCCAGAGGAGGCAAGAAGGTGAGATCAAATGCCTAGATGGGCAGGTTGGTTTTGACGAAGAGCAAGGATAATACTTTCTTTGTCAGATTGATCAGGAGATGAAGAGAGGCAGGTGAAGATTCAGAGAGGAACAGAACTGAAGGAGCTTGTGTTGGATGCCTTTATCCTTTGGGAGATGAACCCATGAGATCACATCCTAAGAATGAGGCAGGGAGGGTCAAGTTGGAAATTTGCGAGTGAAAATAGACCTGAATATCTGGGATGGGGGATGAGGAAAAGTCAACAAGAGATGAGATGCATAAAAGGCTTTCCCAGCAGAATGGAGGGGACAGTGGAGATTAGTCTTATTTTCTCCAGCTGTGCTGAGAAGACTGGGGTAAAGATGAAAGCTACCCTGGGTTTCCAGGCATTAGGAGGACCAAGGTGGAGAAGCCAGGAAGACCTGCAGGTGGGGAGGGTATGACGTGGAAGCAACCACATCACTGACCATGATCGCAGAATGGAGGCTGGATAAGCTGTGTTGTGGGGCAGGGAAAGGATTGGGATTTGCATGGGGGCTGGTAAAACTTGATTTAGGTTCTTGGGAATAGGAAAAGGCACAGTTTAAGAATGGGAAGCTGTTTCAAAGGGAAGAATCACAGTTCTTGGTTTTAGTAAATACCATCATAAAAAGTTCCAAAACAAGCCAAGCACGGTGGCTCACGCCTGTAATCCCAGCACTTTGGGAGGCTGAGGTGGGAGGAGAGCTTGAGGCCAGGAGTTCAGACCAGCCCGAGCTACTTAGTGAGACCCTGTCTCTGCAAAAAATGAAAAATAAATTAGCTGGCTCTGCACCCCAGCTACTTGGGAAGCTGAGGTGGGAGGACTGCTTGAGCCCAGGAGGTGGAGACTGCAGTGAACCATGATCGTGCCACTGCATTCCAGCCTGGGCAACAGAGACCCTGTCTCAAAAAAAAAAAAAAAAAAAATTGTTCCAAATCGGACTCAGCATACCATAAATGTCTTAATATTCACTCTAGCCAGGTATTCCTGGTTTTAAGTATTCACACTAAAATTCCTTGTAGGACAAATTGCTCAGGTGCTATGCTATAAGGGATTATAGTTTATCTTAGCCAAAGGCAGAAACATTTAATCTTCCTTTTTCCTTTGATGGAATTATGTTCTTCCTTACCATCAACACCTATTCATTGATAGTATAGTTTTCTGTCTTAACTATTTAGTGGGTTACTAACAGGAGAACCCACTCTGTTCCAGAAATTGCCTTGATGTTAGGAATTAAAAGAACAAAACAAAACAAAAAACATGGAGCCGTATTCTCCAGAAGCTTACATCTGATTTAACGAGACAGGTAAGTACAATTTCAACATAATGCATTAAGTGCTATGAGAGTAGTATGATGGTGATAGGTGCTATACAAGACAAGGGTTCTAGGTTAATTGCTTTGAGAAAATTGCCACCCTTTAACAAGGTTAAACTGGATTCTTTAATGTCAACCTTACTGAGAGTTTCTAATATGTCACTGTGCTTTGTGAATCTTCATGTGTGTGGAGTAGAGATCCAGTCTGCCAAGTTCTGCAAACTCATCTGACAACAGAACTCTTTTTCAATGGAATATCTCAAGGCATTTGTGCTCCACGAGACATAAGATGAGAAGGGCTGACACAAGATTCTCACCTAGTGAAAAAAAAATATGTATTTATATTTTTAAAAACTGGTTGGATGGGGGCTTTCTCCCAAATACATAAATGACTTTGAAGTTTTTTTTTTCAGTCCTATGACAGAGTAAAGATGCAGACTTAAAAGGATTTACCATGAAGATTTTAATGACTGCTGGGCTGATTATTAAGCCTGATCCCAGTGAAATGGAATGCCTTTAGTCATTTTCATTTATGGACTGTTTAACGATTTTTCTCCAAAAGAAATATTTAATGAACACAATATCGAGTTCCTCCCAGTGCTTCTAATTAACAGACCACTGAACGATCTTTGTTAAAGGAAAGGCTAGCTTCAGGCCAGAAGGCGTTGCAGGATCTAATATGTATGCTACCATGGGTGACCAAGCATAAAGATAAACTAAGGATTTGAATATATAAGGGCTAATGTTTGTGTCCATTGTTATGGAATTTCTGACAATCACTCTCTAGTCTTTCCTAATATTTGGCCTTTAGGAAAAGTGTTTTGGACTGAATTGTTCTCTCTCCTCATTATCCTCCTTAATGTGTGAAAGTCTCAATGTAACTGTTGATTACCTGCTCTCTATTTCATAAAGAGGAAAAACAGATCCAGAGGACCATTTCATGATTCATCCTTTTTCAAAACGTTTCTTAAAACATTAAATAAAGTTTTATTATTGTAAACTGTTTATAATTGTATAAAAGCAGCCATTTCTTTAAGAAAGTATCATCTTATTAAAATAAAGGTTTAATTCTAACCTGATTTTTAGTTTAAAGAACTTCAGAGCAAAAATCAGGTGTAGAATTATCCACGTATTAAAGAGATGTTGTCTATAAAACCTTATGGGGATCAGGACTAAGAAAAAAACATTCATTAGTCTTTTTCTCTCTGCTCAGCTAAATTTAATAAATGATATGTGTGGGTACTATGCTAAGAACTTTATATGCTAAGAACTTTATATGATGCATTGCCTTTGAGCTTTACCAGGTACTATGGATATATGGCTATACTCCTGGTATACCCATTTTACACATGAAAGAAAAGGAAGGCTCAGGAAGGTTACATAACTAGCTCAAACTATAATGCCGAATTTTGACCCCTCCTAGGAGCCAAAGTTATTTCTAAACTAGAACACCAGAAGGTTAAAAATAAAGTCCAAATTTTTTTCAGGAATCCTGAGAGTTAGGGCTGGACCTGATCCTACACTTTTGATGTTAGCCAGGCGAGGGCTGGGAGGCTTTTTACACTAGGCTTAGTGTAAAAAGCATCAATTCTGGAGTCAAAAAGACCTGGATCTGCTTCTCAGTTCAGCCACTTAATAGCTGTGTAATGTTGAACAATGTCCTTAATTTTCTGCCTGAGCATTCCTCATCTGTTAAATGGCGCTGGACTGCTTTCCTTCCTAGGGAGCTGTGGCATCAAATGAAGTGCTGGAGAGTGTTCAACAACAGCCTAGCCTCTGTTGTTGGAGGCTGTGATAATATCACACAGAATCTGTCCATAAGGCTACTTTGCTAGAATGGTCTGTTGTTGCTTCATCCCTATAGTTTCTGCCAAAGATTAAACTACCCAGGGAAGACAGCAAGGGGTTATTAATAAGCAGCCCATTGTCCTTAAAACAGGTTGGATAACTGCAAATAGGAGAAAGCAAGGTAAAGCAACATCCAGAGTGGGAGGCCATCAGAAAGGCACAGGGGAGGCAGAAGGCAGGCATCAGGAGTGAGGGAAATAACTGGAGAGAAGCTGAAAGGCTGGACTTCTTTACAGTTCTGTGCGGGCTGCTGCTCACTCACCTCAGCTCTGGTCACATGTGACAACTCACTGAGAGGTGGAAATAATGTTCATGAAGGCACGTACTGTCTTTGAGTTGGGCCCTCAAGAACACACCTGACATGCTTTAGAATGGGTTCAGAGGTCACAAAAAGCATAGGCAGGTGACACATGTGTGCCAGGCTCTCAGTTTAGGCATTCATTTCTACTAGATCATCTTGGGGACCTTAAGCTAGACTGCATTCTAAAATGTCAAGGACACTGAAAAGAAATACTTTACTTCCCTCACAGGAGTACTGTGAGAATTAAATAACAAAAGGTGCCTACACCCCAAGGCAGGCTTGAAGAGCCTCATTTTCTCCAGGTGCGCAAGAACAGGCCTTCCCTAAGATTGGAGAGAGACCTTGACCACCCAAAGATACCCTGCACTAAAAGGCAGGCTTCAAAGTTGACTAGACCATGATTCAGACCCCAGCTCTGCCACTTCCCAACCCTAGAAAGTCCACCCACTCATTCTTTTATTCATTCATTGACCACATATGTACCAAACAAAATTTATTGAACAGAATTTTACTGATGACCTACTTTGCACCAGGGCACAGTGCTAGATGCTGTGGATACAGAGATGAACAAGACCGACAAGGTCCCTGTCCTCATGAAGGCTGTATTTTCACAGGAAAAGAGATGGACAATAAACAAGTAACAAATAAACAAATGAGATCATTTCAGATTTGGATGTTATACACAAAATAAACTGGGCAAACTAATGGGGAGTAATCTGGGTATGAGGAAAGTGGTTATAAACTGGGCGGCAGTCAGGAATGTTCCTTTCTGAGAGGAAGCACTTGACCTGGGACAAAAGCATGGGAGCCAGCTTGATATGGGAATGGCTAGGGCAGGAGGCACCCCCTGTGCAGAGCACTGGCCCTGGGCTAGGAAAGGCCTTGGGACTCAAGGAACAGAGAGAAGGCCCACGTAACTATGTGGACTGTGGGACTCTATGAATGTGGCAGAATGAAGGCAGATGAAGCCAGCAAAGTGGGCAGTGATCCAACTGTGCAGGACCTCAAAAACCACAGTATGGGATGAAGCTTTATTCTGAAGGCCATAGAACAGTTTCACGCAGGGGAGGTCCAAGATTTGATTCCTGTTTCAAAGAAATGATTCTGGCTGCTGCGTCTCTCTGTCTCTCTCTGGAGTATAGAGAGAGTAAGATGGAAGAGAAGATCCAGCTACGAAGATATTGAAGTCATTTAAGTAAGAAATGATGGTGGCTTAGACTAGGGTGGTGGCTGGAGAGAGAGAAGTAGACATGTTTGAGATGAATTTTAGGGGTGTCACTGAAGGGTTTCGTCTGGAATTTAGGGAAAAGTGGCAAGGAAACAGGAAGAATCAAACTATTTAAATTTCCTGAAACTTCAGTTTCTTCACCTAAATTTGGTGTTACTGTAGCGTATTAAGGACTGAACAAGAGAGCATGTGCTGCCCAGCACAAAGTAGGTACTTGATAAACAGCCAGCTTGTGCCTTGTTCTGACCCAGGTTGAACTCTGAACCTTCTAGAAGTTCCAGCAAGTTCATTTCAGGACTCAGTCATTAGAAATTCCAACTAATACAAAATGTATGCTAAGCTCAATAGGCTCAGAAAAATCTGTTAAACTGTCATCAGTTTGGAAGTAAAGTCAATACTGAGTTATTAAACCACCCACAACAGCCAATATGAAGCTTCCAGACAGACTGTGACACCTGACAAGTGTTGGCCGTATGCTTATTTGGGTGCTCTGTGACTTAAAACTCCTTTCTCAATGGCAAGAATTTTGGAGAAACATGTACTCTCTGTGGACAGAAACCACATGTGGAAAACAGTAGCGTAGGTTTGGGTGTCATAGCTCTGGAAAACTCTTGATCTCTGAAGCCTTGACAGGGGTTCCTGGCTTACAGGGTACACATGAGGACTACTGATCTGACTCCAGCTTTCTGAGTCACTCACAGTGAAAAAGCTACCTAGGGGCAGGAAGACCATTCATCTAACTCTGTTGCTGCCCAGCTGTATGGTCACAGGAACGTCTCCCAGCACTTCAGGGTGGGGGACCTGGGCAGGGGCACTACACAGACATATCCTTGCACAGGCCTTTGGCTACCACAAAATCTGCTGGGCTACCATGCCTGGTTTCAGTGCAGCTCAGCTGCATATGAGCCTGAAATACACGGCCTTTCTTATTGCTCTCTTCTTTTTTGCTTTTATTGTGGTTATTCAGAGCAATAGTTCTCTATGTTGGATGTTACAATACCCTGGTGCACTTTATAAAATACTGATTCCCAGGCCCCACACCAAAAGATTCTGACCTAATCAGTATAGTAGATGCACCGCCCAACTGATCCTTCAGGAATGAAGGGCTTATTCTCCCAGTTGCTGAAAGTGTAGCCAGTGGACAGCACTCGGCTTGTTAATAATCTGTGGAAAGTTGCTCGGCATTTCAAGGCAATACCCTCTTCCTGAGGTAGCCAGCATCCAATGACCAATCAATATGGGACTATAAAGACAACATTGCTCTGAAACAGGACAACTCTGAAAGGCCACACCAGTTTCAGAGCTCCCTGTAGGTCAGCTGAGGCCTTCCTTGAGAATGCACTGCAGCCCGACAGCTTCCCCTGCCTGATCCTGCTTCCTTTCCTTCCTTTCCTTCAGTGGTGATCCCAAGAGCAACCCTCATAAACTTCCTGCAAGTAAGTCTCCATCTCAGGGTCTGCTTTCCCTGGTTTGAGGTAACACTTGGACATCAGCATTATAAAGCTCCACAGCTTTATAATTTCTTTTTTTTTTTTTTTTTGAGATGGGGTCTTGCTCTGTCACCCAGGCTGGAGTGCAAATCTTGGCTCACTGAAACCTCCATCCACCTCCTGGGTTCAAGCAATTCTCCTGCCTCAGCCTCCAGAGTAGCTGGGACTATAGGCTTGCACCACCATGCCTGGCTAATAAAAAAAAAAAAAAAATTTTTTTTTTTTTTTGAGACAGAGTCTTGCTCTGTTGCCCAGGCTGGAGTGCGGTGGCGCGATCTCGGCTCACTGCAAGCTCCACCTCCCGGGTTCACGCCATTCTCCTGCCTCAGCCTCCTGAGTAGCTGGGACTACAGGTGCTTGCCACCACGCCCGGCTAATTTTTTGTATTTTTAGTAGACACGGGGTTTCACCATGTTAGCCAGGATGGTCTCGATCTCCTGACCTCATGATCCGCCCGCCTTGGCCTCCCAAAGTGCTGGGATTACAGGCGTGAGCCACCGCGCCTGGCCTTTAAAATATTTTTAAGTAGAGACGGGCTTTTACCATGTTGGCTAGGCTGGTCTCCAACTCCTGACCTCAGATGATATGCCTGTCTTGGCCTCCCAAAGTGCTGGGATTACAGTTGTGAGCCACCATGCCTGGCCCTCCCTAGGTGATTTTAATAAGGGTGAATAACCCCTGCTCAAAAGTCAGAATGTGGCAATCAGTCAACAGACAATTATTGAGCATCAACTGAGTGCCAAGTATATTGCTAGGTTTTTGGTCCCAGATGGAAAATTAAGAGAGAAATTAAGAAAACTGACTCTGATTGCAAAGCTAGTAAGTGGCAGACTTGGGGTTTAAAACTAGAGAGATTGCTGTGTCTGTTCTCCTAATCACTATGTTATGCTGTCTCCAAGATGATGGAGGGGAAGCATAGGATGCCAGGGAACCCTAACCTGGCCATGCTGGATAGAAGTGGAGAGTGGGGTCAGAGAAGGATTCTCTGAGGAAGTGATGTTTAAGCTGAGATCTAAATAAGAAGAGTGTAGGCAGAGGCAACAGGGAATGCAATAATCTAAGGTAGGAGAGAGCAGAGTGTGTCCCAGGAACTGATTGCTCAGTGTGATTAGAATGGAAAATGCAAGACGTAAACCTGGGGAGGTGGCTGATGCTAGAGCATGCCTTTTCTCTAAAAGCAATAGGAAGCCAAAGGGTCCCTGCAGAGGAGGGTTGCAGCACGATAACTCTACAGCTGGACAGAGACAGATTGCAGGGGAGCAAGAATGAATGGCAGGTGAGGATGGTTTTTAATTTCAATTGTCAGATTCAATTTAAAGACCAATGGTTCTCATCCAAGGATAGGATGACACCTCTAGGGCCATTTGGAAATGTGTGGAAATAATTTTGGTTGTTGCAATAATCACAGATGCTAAACATCCAGTAAGGTGAGAAATGTTCTCACTGCAAAGGCACAACTGTCCTCTTCAAAATGCCAAGGGCGCCCTCATAGGGAAATCATGCAATAAGCAAACACAGAAGGCTTAACTGTAGGAATATAAATGTTCTACGCCATAACAATGTGAAAGTTCAGTAATTGTGTATCTGGGAGAATTTGGGAAGTCAAGGGGGTAAGAGAGGTGAAGGGAAATGCGGGGTCGGGGGAGATTTATTCATTTTAACATGGTGGGGTGTCAAGAGACACTGTCTAAAGTTTATGGATCCAAAAATAAATGGTTTAGTGTACTAAAGTTGTAAAGGGAACCAAGAAAAATGTTCAAAATAAAAACAAAACTAAAAATTACGAGGAAGAGAGAGAAAAGCAGAAGGAATAGTATAAGTTCCTTCTCTTTCATAGTAGGGAGTCAGCCAACACAGCTAAGGTTAATGAATCAAGAAACAGAGGTGGAAATATAGAGTTATAGAGGAAGCCATCAGTGAATCAGGAAGAAAAACCATCAGAAAAACAAGAAGTGGAAGTAGAATTTTAAATATTTATGTATTTATTTATTTATTTTTTGAGATGGAATCTTGCTTTGTTACCCAGGCTGGAGCACAGTGGCATGATCTTGGCTCACTGCAACCTCCACCTCCTGGTGGCACAAGCGATTCTTGTGCCTCAGCCTCCTGAGTAGCTGGGACTACAGGTGTGTACCACCCAGCCTGACTAATTTTTGTATTTTTAGTGGAGATGGGGTTTCACCATGTTGGCCAGGCTGGTCTCGAACTCCTGACCACAGGTGATATGCCTGCCTTGGCCTTCCGAAGTGCTAGGATTACAGGCGTGAGCCACCACACCCAACCAAATGAGGCAGTTAGTCTTGATGTTTATTTATTTATTTTTAGATGGAGTCTTGCTCTGTTGCCCAGGCTGGAGTGCAGTGGCGTGATCTTGGCTCACTGCAACCTCCGCCTCCTGGGTTCAAGTGACTCTCCTGTCTCAGCCTCATGGGTAGCTGGGATTACAGGCACGTGCCACCATGCCTGGCTAATTTTTGTATTTTTTTAGTAGAGATGGGGTTTTGCCGTGTTGGCCAGGCTGGTCTCGAACTCCTGACCTAAGGTGATCGACTCGCCTCAGTCTCCCAGAGTGTTGTGACTTCAGGTGTGAGCCACTACTCCTGACTGGAAGTGGAATTTTGAGTTCAGCAGTAGGGACTAGTGAGGGAAACTCTGATTTCTCATTTTATCCCTTGTCTTAAATATATTTTTGTATGTTTATTTCTACCTGTATATGTTATATAAGTAAGTGAACTTTAGTTTCCTGCTTACCCAATGCATGCTTCTATGATGGATGTCAAATGGTTCTTTTGCTCTCTGAGAAGCTATTTCTATCTAACAGGGACCTGCCAAGAACTAAGGGCCACTTTGAGACATGTAGCCAGAGTTTTCTAGTGTTGAACTATACTGTCTCCTCATCTGCACTGGGGCTGAATCCATGACTAGTTCTTTCTGAGTGCTGTAAGAACTTCTCTGCCCCAACTGGGTCTAGATCCATTTTTCCCTAAGTGGTTGTGGGGAACTGTGCAGTTGCTGGGCGGCTTGGTAGTTGGCCTCCAAAGAAGAAAAGGGCAAATTCCTAGGGGCACCCTTATCTGCTAGGAGGCGTGCACCAATTCAGGTATAAGCAGAGACTCACTATAAAGGAATGGGCAGATTCCTAAACAACTCATGTTGTTAATAGAGGATAAAGTAGGGTCGGGGGAGGTGAGTGGAGTGATGAGCAGGAGTTTTCTAGAATACAGCATGGCCTGAATTTTAACCGTCTAAACACTGGCTCAGCTGGGTCTCTATTTGTCATTATTTTTTACAGCAACTGGTAAAACTACTCCTCTGTCTTTTTATGTAGCCCTTCTGTGGGCTTTACATGACATTGCATGGTAGTTAGTTGCTTACATATCTCAATCTTCTATCATCTGTGATCTCTTCTTCTTCAAGGGTAGGATCTGAGCCTCATTCATTTTTATATTCCTTGTACTGAGCATATACCTAATAAACACTGGTTGAGTAAAGAAAACGAATGAATAAATAAATAAATAAATAATTAAATCAAAGCCAAATGAATAAATAAAATGCTTATTTTATCCTCCTTTAAAAAAATCAGCAAAATAGGACATAGAGTGTAACGAAGATTCCATTACTTTCTAGTGCACCCCTGATTGTGGGACTCTGGTATTTGCTTGTGTGTATGTGTGTGCATGTGTGTGTGTACATGCGTGCATGTGTGTGTATTACTATAACTACTTGTAAGAGTTAAATAATTGGTAATGGGAACTCAAGTTAGGCCTTTGGGGTCCCTAAGAAGTGCAGAGAAACTTGGATTTCTCCAGTACTAGTAAATCGAAGAGGAAAGTTCAATAATGCTGCTGCAAGAGTCCATCTATAAGATGACATTTATAGGAAGAAAGGCTTGTTCAAAAATTATTTGATATTGTCTAGGCAATGAGCTTAAAGAGCAAGAGTCTAAGCTAAGGGTAGAAACATGGTACCAGAAACACCTGTTTGCTTCCTCTCTCCTCCAGGGAGCTGAGCAATATAGCTCAATTTAGTTAGGTGATCAAAGACTGATAAAATCACGTAAGGAATACTTACAACACTATCTACTTAATTCGCATACAAATAATAAGAAGCCGTTTCTGTAAGATTGTGGTAAAACTTAGATGCTGCTACTCTGCTAGAGGTATTAGAAATCAGTTTAACTCTTTTAGAAATCAGTACGTCAAGGAGGTTGCCATGCTATTCCTGCCTAGCAATGGAAAATAGTTTTTCTTCTTACCTAGCAATGGAAACAAAAGATTTTCAGAGATCTTTGATTAACCATGGTAAAGTTTAATGATGTCCTGGAGGGTTTTGTAATGGACTAAAAGTAACCAGGCAATATTGTGATAAAAGTGGTGTACTAGATTTCTTTGGCAGGAAGTTATAGATGGACACAGCTATGATTCTATCCAGATGGTTGTAACCAAGAGAAGTTCGGGCTATGAATGTCTGTGCAGGTTCTACTGTTCCCCCAAGTTTGCACCTTCCCCAGGGGAGCCTGCACTTTGGGTGACTCCTGGATTTGAATGTGATAGACTCATTCATTCATTCCTTCCTTCCTTCATTCAACAATGTTTATTGAACTACCACTGTGTGAGTTATCTGTTTGAAGGATAGCACTTTCTTATTTTTCTTTGGGACCCTTTCTTACACGACAGGATACTCAAGAGATATTTGCTGATTGACTGACACAGGCTGAAGCAAAATGGATTTTTCCCACACTGGTTTCATTCTGAGTTGCAGTTGACAGAATTTATTGCATCTGTAAAACTTCTTTAAGTTTATGAGTTGCTAAGCTTGAGAGATTTCAGCTTTCTTTTCCATTCCCCTTGCAATAAAGATCTCTTTTTATATTCTCATTTATATAAAAATCAGATGCTGACGGTTCCCTTATGTAAATTCTCTCTGGCTAGGGTGGTGTTGGTTCTATATTTTTTAATGAGCTTCCTCATCCTGTGTTCAGCTAGAGCCTTAGGTTGTTAACCTTAAAGCCTCAATGCAGAACCAGGCTCACTGATTTCACCTTTTTAAAATACTAGCATTCCCACTAGTGTGTGTATGTGTGTTTGAGAAAGAGGGAGGGAAAGAAAAAGAGAGAGAGAGAATTATGACTAAAGTTTCAAACTAAAGTTCAGCTGTTGAACTTGGACAATTCATGTACTCTCAGTCTTTGAATTAGTCTTAGGGAATTTAAGAGATAAACAAAAAGCAAACTCTCTAGGTGGCTGTGATTCAGAGACCCAGAAAACAGAAAATAACTGAAGGATTAACCTGTATGTGGCTGGGAGTAGGGTGTAAGGGTGAGGCCGTAGGCCTGAACAGAAGGAAAATAATACATCACCAGTTGACAGTAGCTAGACGGACATTCACAAATCTAGTCCAGCAACTGAACATGGACACAGGAGAAATTGGCTCTACTGTACCTTGGTAGGCATGGGCTTCTTAAAGGTGATTTCAGCTTGCATCCAAACACCCCTTGGGGACTCCAACACAGACCAGATCTTCTCTTGAACCACATGGTTCTCTTCAAAGATGTAAACTGCTAGGGTGTCACTCATTTTTAAAAATCCATAGATGGCATAATGAAAACGCAGACAATACTGCAAGTTTCCTGGTAGGGAGGGCCCATAGAGCCTTCCAATGTAGCCAGGCTGAGATGTGAACTTTGTGTTGGCTAGCAGGTAATACCCTGCAAAGAAGATAAAGCATATCAGCAATGCAAAATAATCTAATCTAGATTAGCAAGTGGTAAAATATGATTAAAGTAGAACTAGACAGCAAAGACTATCAGCTATGCTTTAAATGATAGAAAGCATTTTCTAATGTCTGTGGCTTAAGTGACAGAAAATATCCATGTGCCTCTATTGAAATGATACCTCGTTCAATTCTAAGTAAACTTTATAAACCAGTACAGATTTTCTATAGAATATGCCCAGATTCCAGTCATTAATTAGGATTTACACTTTTCATGAAACAAAAAGGATGAAGTCATCTTGGAGATACCAGCTGCCTGGGTCAACCATCTGACTTAGATTGTACATTCCGAGGACTGAACCATAGTGAATGGAAGGCCCAGAGCAGATTCTTCCTTATTATCTCCTTAGTGACCGATAGAGATGGTGGGATTTCAGGCTGGCCTGGCAGTCTTTGTGGAAGTTTGTGTGTCTGGGCAGAGCCTACTCCTCTCTTGGTCAAATGTTAAACCTGCCCTTGAAGAGCAGGTTTTTCATCAGATGGATCCTCCCAGGTGCTAAAGATCTATGTTCTTCCTTTATTCCTCCTAAACAACATAAAGAAAAATAAGATCAGGAACCTCCCCCTCCCACCATCCCCATGGTCAATTTAAAATGAGTTTGTGTATCCTGGAAAGCCTGGGCAGAAAAGAAAAAAATAATAACACCTTATTTTTTCTCTTTCTTTTTTCTGCTCCTCCTCCTGTCAGTTTTCTTTTGGGTGCCTCAGTCTTTGTATACAGTTTAGTTTTACCCAGTTATTTAACTCAAAAGAAGAGAAAGACATGCCAGAGCTCTCTATGCCTCCATACACCAAGAGGACATATGAGGACACAGGATAAGGTGGCCATCTGCAAGCCAGGAAGAGACCCCTCACCAGAAACCACCCTGATGGCACCTTGATTTTGAACTCACAGCCTCCAGAACTGTGAGGAAATAATGTCTGTTGTTTAAGCCACCCAGTCTGTGGTATTTTCTTATGGCTGCCTGAGCAGACTATTATGGATGGCCATACAACAGCCAGAAAAACCTTTTTGAAACCTCAGTTTCATCTGTGTTTTTTCTGCTTAAAACCTCTCAGTGGCTTCTCATGTCCTCTATAATAAAATTCCAAATGCTTCCTGTGGCCTGCCACACCCAGAATCTATCTCCCTCTCTGACATCATTTTCCTCCATTCTCCTCGTCACCATTCCTCCCCACGGTGCAGCCATACAGACCTTCCTATTCTGTGGTGTGACCAGCTCTTTCCAAATTCGAGGCCTTCACAGATGTTGTTCCCTCTGCCTGGGTCACTCCCACTCTCCCAGCTAATGGCAGCTTCCCTCAGAGAAAATTTCCCTGAATCCTGAACCCAAATTAGATTCTTCCCTCTATTCTGTCTCAGAGCTCACTCTTCATTTCTTTCTACTGTGAAAGAAGGGGATCAGAACATGCCACCCCAAACTATGTCACTTTGGCATTTTGATTATTTTGAGGTAAAGTCACTTGAGAAATAGCAGAGGCAGGAAGGATCCTTTGACCTCCCCTTTTCTATTATACTTAAAAGCAGGTCATAAAATTTCCTGTGAACAAGGTGTTCTCCCTGTCCCAGAAAGGGAGGAACATTCTGTCCCTAAAGACTGGGAGTTGACACCAAAATGGATCTGTACAAACAAACCTACTAACATAACCCTCATCTTCCATTGTTTCCTCCATATATTTCCTAGTCACTTTCCCACAATTTACTGCCCCTGGAAACTTAAGCCCCCTGACCCTTTTTTGTCTTGCTACTTCTCCGCAATTTTATCATCCTTTGTTTAAAATGGTGTTGAAGCTCTCAGGCCTATCTGCTTCTTTGGGTCTTCATTGTTTTTATGAAGGCTCCCAAGTGCAAGTCAAAATATTAAATAAAATTTGTATTTTTTTCTTGTTAATCTGTCTTACATCACTTTAATTCTCAGGTCCAAACATGGAACCCAAGAGGGTAGAGGAAAAGTTTTTCCTCCCTGACAGCACTTACCACAACCTGTGCTTATAAGTTTGTTTGCGTATATATTTGTCTAATGTTTCTCTTGCCCTTTGAAAAGATTGTCTGCCAGTGAAGGTGGGATTCATTTCAGATTCGTTCACTATTGTATTCCCCAGGAGTTAATCCGCTTGAATGTTTTATTACTTTGAAAATTGACAAACTGAGAGTATGGTGAGTCTTTTTGTCCCTAAACAGTTCCCCGTTTCATCAGTTCACTGCTCCCAGAATTCAAATGGTTCTCTAGAGATGATTTTCCAGTTAATCAGCCCAAGGTCAGAATAGATTTGGTAGGGCCTTTATTTCTACAGGTTAGGCAACCTCTAAGAAAAGAATACAAAATTACAAGCACAAAATTGTGAGGGCTCTTTCAAGGCCTTTCTCAGGCTGGTAGAAGGCAGGGGCCCTGGAACCTAAGCTTCACCAGCTCCACGGTAAACTCACCTCAGTCTCCAGTATATAAATATGTGTTGAGTAAGTGAATGAGACACTGAACTCCTAGAGATCAAGCTCTTCACACTTGTCTCCACTGGGTTGGGCTCCACAAAGGCTGTCATTGAATTAATAGGTAATCCCTACACAAGGAGCACTCAGACTCCTGTTTCAAAAAGCTCCTTGTAAATATATCCATCAAGTGTCCACTCAACATTTTTTAATAGCTTTTCCCCTCAGAATAGATTTTTTAAATTATAGTAAAATATACATGGTATAAAATTTACCATTTATCCATTTGAAAGTGCACAATTCAGCGGCATTTTGAGCATTCACAATGCTGTGCAGCCATCACCACTATGTAGTTCCAGATCATTTTCATCACCCAAAGGCAACCCCATACTTAAACACTCTTATTCCCTCTGCCACGGCCCCTGGCAACCACTGAAATCTGCTTTTTATCTGTAGGAATATGTCTCTTCTGGAGATTTCGTATAAATACAATTCAACAGATTTTTTTTCCTTAAAGGTATTGCATCTAAAGTGAGTTCCAAAATATTTTACAAGGATTTGCCTGTTTAATTAACTAGCAAATATGTTTGTTAACACGGCAACTTGAATTCCAATTTTTAAAAATGGTCAAACACAAGACTACTGATTGTCTTTGCTTCTTCACAGCTGCCTTTTTTCTTTAAGTCGATGTCTTTGCAGGTGTGAAGTAGGAATGGCCAATAAAGCTCACGACTACCCAAGATGTCCCCACATAGACAGATCTCTGATTTACCTAAGCCTGTAGTGTGGTCTCCAGCCCGATACATGTTTGGTTTTACTTTCACTCGGGTCCAACCTGGACCTTCATCTTGGTAAAAGTTGCAGAGATCTTGCTCAAAATTGCAGCTGGCTTCCACGGCACTGAACAGAAGTTCTGAGCAAAGGACAAGCAAAGTTAATGACAGTCCCAAAGATCTCAAAGGACTACATCAACTGGTTGACAGATATTTATATATACACATTTGTACCAGGGGAGACCGAAGAAGTAAAACACAACTAAATATCTTTATCCAAAGGGCATGCTGACAGGTTAGAATCAAACCAACATTTCAACATGACAGGAAAATTGTTCTTTTCCTTTCTAAAGGGAGGGGAGAAAGGAGCACTGTTCACATTATAAAAATGAAGTACCCGACTTCAAAAGAAATTTCCTCCCATGGAAATGCAAATCAAAACCACAATGAGATACCATCTCACACCAGTTAGAATGGCGATCATTAAAAAGTCAGGAAACAACAGGTGCTGGAGAGGATGTGGAGAAACAGGAACACTTTTACACTGTTGGTAGGACTGTAAACTAGTTCAACCATTGTGGAAGTCAGCGTGGCGATTCCTCAGGGATCTAGAACTAGAATTACCAATTGACTCAGCCATCCCATTACTGGGTATATACCCAAAGGACTATAAATCATGCTGCTATAAAGACACATCACACGTATGTTTATTGCGGCACTATTCACAATAGCAAAGACTTGGAACCAACCCCAAATGTCCAACAATGATAGACTGGATTAAGAAAATGTGGCACATATACACCATGGAATACTATGCAGCCATAAAAAATGATGAGTTCATGTCCTTTGTAGGGACATGGATGAAATTGGAAATCATCATTCTCAGTAAACTATCGCAAGGACAAAAACCAAACACCGCATGTTCTCACTCATAGGTGGGAATTGAACAATGAGAACACATGGACACAGGAAGGGGAACATCACACTCTGGGGACTGTTGTGGGGTGGGGGGAGGGGGGAGGGATAGCATTAGGAGATATACCTAATGCTAAATGACGAGTTAATGGGTGCAGCACACCAGCATGGCACATGTATACATATGTAACTAACCTGCACATTGTGCACATGTACCCTAAAACTTAAAGTATAATAATAATAATAATAAATAAATAAAAAGAAATTTCCTGTCATGACTGTGAATGTTTATTCATATACTTCTTCACAATTCACAATTCATTCATAAAAATTTTAAAAGAAAAAAGAGAAAAGGAAGAGATTTTATGGGACTCAATCTGTCTCTAAGATGAAGATTTTAGATATAATATTTTATAGAAACAATTTTCCTTTGTTGCTCAATCTCTGTGTCAGAAGCACAGCTGATGTCTACTTTGACATCAGTAGTAGGAGCTGATCTGCTTGAAGAAAGTCATCACTCAGTTTAAATTGTGCAGGTCAAAGAGTCACAGTTCTGTCATGGGTACTGCTATTGCTTTGACTTTGCCGAGTTCTGGTATTATTTACCCTGTTCTATAAATACCTCACCCCAGATGGCCTGGAGGTAACATAAAAGATTTCTGCTCTTTGAGAAGACATACAAATGGCCAACAGGTATATAAAAAAAATGTTCAACATCACTAATCAGCAGAGAAATGCAAATTAAAACTACACGATATCATCTTAGTCAGAATGGCTATTATTAAAAAGACAAAAATTAACAGATGTTGGTGAGGATGTGGAGAAAAGGGAACTCTTATACAATGTTAGTGAGAATGTAAACTAGCACAGCCACTATGGAAAACAGTGTGGAGATTTCTCAAAAAAATGAAAATAGAACTGCCATTTGATCCAGCAATCCCATTACTGGGTATCTAGTCAAAGGCAAAGAAATCAATATATCAAAAAGATGATGCACTTGTATGTTTATCTTAGCACTATTAACAGTAGCAAAGATAAGGAAACAACCTCAGTGCCCATCAGCGGATGACTGAATAAAGAAAGTATCATATGTACATACAAACTGGAATACTATTCATCCATAAAAACAATGAAATTATGTCTTTTGCAGCAACATGGTTGGAATTGGAGGTCATTATCTTAGGTGAAACAAGTCAGACACAGAAACACAAATACTACATGCTCTCACTCATAAGTGGGAGCTAAATAATGTGTACACACTGATACAGAGAGTGGAATGATAGGCGGTGGAGACTTAGAAGGGTGAGGGAGTAGGAGGGGGTATGGAAGGTAAGAAATTACTTAATGGGTACAATGTATGTTACGCCAGGATGGATACCCTAAAATCCTCACTTAACACTATGCAATCTATGCCTGTAACAAAACTGTATTTGTACCACATACATTTATACAAATAAAATGCTTCTGCTCTTTTGAGAATAACTTTTAATCCTATCAACAATTGGCTTGTAAATCACACTGTTCAGATTGCCCTCTTAGAACAGAGGGGATGTGACTGTAGCAGTTGGGATACAGTCGGTGCAGCCAAGTGTGATTCTTGTCTGAATGCTGACATACACGTCTAACAATCTAGGGAGAGAGGACATGTGTTGAATAACTGGAAAATTATCTCTAGGGAAACATTTGGGCTCTAGGAGCAGTGAGCCGATGAAACAGCTCACTATAAAAACTTACTATATTCTCAATTTGTCAATTTCCAAAGCAAGAAAACATTCAGGTGGGTTGAGGAACTGACCCAGATTAAAGTGGATGAAAGAGGCATGACAATCAAATGCTACCAGGGATGCAAGATTCAATCTTGGTCCAGAAGAACACATATCTATAAAGGTTGTTATTGGGGCAATTGGAAACATTGGTGTATGGACCGAAAGTAAGTTGATAATGTTGTATCAGTATTAAATTTCCTGAACTCCGTAATTATCCTATAGTTATGCTGAAGAATGTGTTTGATTATAAAATACACACTAAAATATTTAATGGTAAAGGGGCATGATGTTTGCAACCTATTCTTAAATGGTAGATAAAGCAAACATGGCAAAATCTTAATTTGTAGAGCTGGGTGAAAAGTATATAGGAGTTCTTTGTAGTTTTCCTGCAGATTTTGTCTGAGTTTGAAATGATAGAAAATTAAAGAGCTCCAAGAAAATTAAATTTTAAAAAGTAACTGATTAACAACACATTACAAAAAAAAAGATTAGGTAAAAAGTGTTCCTATATAACTAGAACCTGATTGTATCTCAGGGGATATACCCTAGGAAGTGCACCAGGAGCAAACCCAGATGAGCCAGACTGGAGAAGAGGAAATGAAGAGAATTCTCAATGCTCTAAGATGGGTAGATTAGCCCACACCCTGGTCTGCCTGATTCTGTCAGCACCAGGGTATATCTTTAAGCCCTGAAGATAAAGTCTGTGAAAAATGAACAAGATGTTACATGAACAAGGATCCTTTGACATTCTCCCATGGATATTTGAGACCACAGGAAACCCCATTAAAGTATTCAGTATTAGTCACCCCTCTGCTACTGGGTAATAAAAAAACAAATAAAAATCCCAAATCTACAGAGGGCCATCTAACTCAGGAAATGGGGTGGCACTGCCAAGTGCCATGCACGAAAACAGTAGGTCAGTGAATTCCTCATCAGGAATGAATCTTCCCCCTTCCTCCTTTTTTTTCATTCTTTGTCCCAGCTAGAGAGGGGAGAAGAAGAAATGAATCTTAAAGCAGTGCTCTTGGGCGACTGCAAGAGAATCTTAACTCAGTTATTAGATGTGTGGGAGGGGGTGGAAGGTGGCATAAAAACGTGAAAGTTTACAGAAGTTTTATTCATAAGCACCAAAACTTGAAAGCAACCAAGCTATGTCCTTCAGTAGGTGAGTAGATACATAAACTGTGGTACATCCAGACAACTAAATATCACTCAGCGCTAAGAAGAAATGAGCTATCAAGCCGCAAAATGATACGGAGTAAACTTAAATACATATTACAAAGTGCAGGAAGCCAGTCTGAAAAGGCTACATACTCTATGATTCCAACTATGTGACATTCTTGAAAAGGCAAAACTATGGGGACAGTAAAAAGAACAGTAATTGCCACGGGTTTGGGGGAAGGAGAGGTGAATAGGCAAAACATAGAGAGTTTTTTGTTTGCTTTTTGTTTTTGAGAAAGGGTCCCACTTTGTGGTCCAGGCTGGAGTGCACTGGTGCAATCTTGGCTCACTGTAGCCTCTGCCTCCTGGGTTCAACCTATCCTCCTCCTTTAGCCTCCTAAGAAGCTGGGACCATAGGCATGCACCACCATGCCTGGCTAATTTTTGTATTTTTTGTAGAGACAGGGTTTCACCATGTTGCCCAGGCTGGTCTACAACTCCTAGGCTCAAGCAATCCACCCTCCTTTGCCTCCCAAAGTGCTGGGATTACAGGTGTGCACTACCATGCCTGGCCTGGATATAGAGGGGGTTTTTAGGGCAATGAAAATGTATGATACTACAATGGTGGATACATGTCATTATACATTTGTCCAAATCCATACAGTATACAATACCACGAGTGAACCTTAATCTAAACTATGGACTCTGGGGACAGTGATGTATATGAAGGCACAGGGACTATGAGAGACCTCTGTATCTTCCTCTCAATTTTGCTGTGAACCTAAAACTACACTAAAAAATAATGCCTATCAAAAAAAGCTTAAAAGTAAGCCAGGATCACTTCTCTCCATGGTGATAGACTGAGTCATACAGAAAATATTTTTCTGATGATGGGATTATAATATTTTGCTAATGAATAGATTTGAAATGGATTTTCCTGGGGTCTTGAGGAGGTCTGATAAAAAAAAATCTCAAAAGCATAACTCAGGGGCTAAATCTTTTTCACCTAGAGTGCTGCTTCTACCCTGAGACAGTGTCTGATTCCTGAAGATGGGGCCAGAGGCCTGTCTGTGACCTGAGTGGGTGCAGAGGCTTTGCTTCAAGCTTGTTTCAGAGGTGTTAGTAAAGGGCAGATCACAAATTTAGCTGCTGGGAAGTGCAATGATGTATTTGAAGCATAGGGAGGAATCAGAGGCAGTTGGAAGCCTCTGAGCATCTGTTGATGATCAAGAAAAAAAGAAAAAAGAACTAAAGCCCCTTTAAGCAACTTACCAAAAAGCATCATAATGTAAGGTTTAGTTAATTACTTGCTTTCTGACATTTGAACTTTTAAGAAATGAGAAGCTTTGAAGATAATCTAATTAGCGGGAGTGTGTTGCAGTTTGAGAGTAGTTGGAAACATTTCTCATCGTTTCCTCTGCTCCCTGGAGTTCACGGAGAGAAACTCAACATCGGTCCCACAGACTAAAAGGCTCATCAGCCCCTAGAGTACTAAAAGATAGATACTGGGGGCAGTGTGTTCTCTACACTGCTAACCTTGCAGGGTAGTTTTACTCTAGCATGTGCCAGCCCAAAAGCAGGCTGAGACAGCTCAAAGCTGGCTTGGGTAGGAGAGGCAGTGGGACCTGGCACCACACTGAAGACCAATGGGGAAACAAGGGCCAGAGTCACCGACTAGGCTGTGGAGACCCTTGGGGGCACTTAAGATAAGAAAGGCTGGGGCAACCTTAGCTGTAGCCTAGGCAGTAATTGGGCCTGGGTTTCCAAACAGACAGGAGGTTGGGGCAATGTGTTGTCAGTGAATGGCCAATATTGGGATTTAGGTAGTGATTCTCTGAGAGGCGTTCCCATGAGTGTTAGGATATACCCAGTCACTGGGTGTGGGGTGGACCCAAGCCCAGAAAGGAGATTGGGTCTGCATATGGCAGAGCAGTAGAGCTCTCAGTTTGAGGCTGGGCTTTATGGCAGGATTCTAGAAGTGAATGGGATCACCTCTTAGGCATTCAAAGATTTACAGACCAAAAGGAAGGCTTGCTCCCATCTTCTAAACTTTGGGACAGATGTGGTTGTGCAGGGGGAGAGTGAGGGGGCAAAGGGATGGAGAAGGAAGTGGGGGATGGTCTCACGGTCCTCTGGAAGCACCGGGTGTGGGGGGCAGTTCATTGGAGGGCCACATGACATTGCTGTTGAGTACCTGTGACTATGAGATGGGTCTCAGGTCCGGGAGACTGGATTAACTCTAAACGCAACCAGATGGTGGGAACAAGATGCTGTGTATGTTGATATGATTCCTGTCTTAGCCTATTAGGGAGATGAGGGAAGAAAATGCTAGGTCCAGCTGGGAAAAGCAGAGACAAGAAGTCTGGAGTTAACCAAGTTAAGGAAAAAATGTTGGCACCTGTTATGAAACAGAAGGGCATAAACTATTTGTGAAATGTAAGATGAAGTATGAAAATTAAAAGGCTCAGCTTCTAAAGACTCAGTCTGGCCCACAGCTGCTCAATGAAAGACATAAAGCAGGCTCCAGCTGACACAATCATCAAGCTAGTGCCCTTTGCTGGTTCTCTTTAGTTGCAATCTGACCCACTGTTCTCCAGGGATGGGTGGTCATATTTTGAAAATAAAGTAAATAATACTGTCTCATGATGAAGCATTTTCTGTGTACCATACTCTGTGCTAAGGCCTTCACAGACATTAACTCATTAACTTTCCCAACAAGTCTATGAAACAGCTTCTTCCGTCTTTGCTATAGATGTGGAAAGAGTCTCAAAGAAGTTAAATAACATGACCCATGCCAGATAGCTTGGAAGTGGCAGAATAGGGATGTGAATCCACATTCCTGGTGGATTGAGCATAACACTACGATGATGCAATTAAACCATTTAAAGCCAAGCTGGCATAGTGGGAAGTTCTGAAGATCAGTATGGAGACTTGGTTAACCGAACTGTATAAGAACTCATATCTGCGGAAGTTCCTGCACAGAAGGAGTCTGTGCTTTGCAGACTGAGGGATCAACAGCCCTCTTAACACATGGTCCTTGTTTTGCTGGAACGTTTCTTTTCCTTTCACCAGACAGACCACCTGTGTAGTAGGAAAGAGCTCACACAAATTCTCTTTTTTTCAAAAGGAGGAGCATTTCTGAACATTACTTGTGGGTGATTCAGTTGGTTCTGTTACTTCCAGCTGCCTCTTCACCCACCCTCTGCCCAGCGCAGATATTAGATAAACACCTCTTCTACCATAGACAAAACAAGGGAATATAAATTTCAGCGTCACTGCCTAGTGATAGAAAAAAGATTTTGTCTAAAAATAATGATAAAGAGATTATAAAATTACTATGAATGTAATTGAAATATCAACTGATAGGATTAGGGAGGAATCAAATGTAGAGAAGTAAAACAATGTTGGTTTCTGTGTTCTGTCAAATTTAGAGACTCTTTTAATCTTTGATTATTGTTTGGATTAAATCATTAAAAAGTATGTAAATCTAATCTGGTTCTATCTGTTTTACAACCTTTTAAAAGATTAGAATTAGGAAAAATAGTATTCAATTTCAGCAAATTAGTAGATTGCTGTCTAGTTTTGGGGTAACAGTTTAGCTCAAGTTGAAAATATTTTTCCATGTAAACTGTGGCTCACACCTGTAATGCCAGCACTTTGGGAGGACAAAGTGGGAGGATCCCTTGAGCTCAAGAGTTCAAGACCAGCCTGGACAACATAGTGAGACCTCATCTCTACTAAAATAAAAACCAAAAAAACTAGCCAGTCTCAGCTGCCCAGAAGGCTGAGACAGGAATATCACTTGAGGCCACGAGTTTGAGGCTGTGGTGAGCTGTGACTGCACCACTGCACTCTAGCCTGGGTGACAGAGCGAGACCCCCCAATTCCCCTTCCCAAAAAAAAAAAAAAAATTTCTTAGTCCCCCGATTTGCAGAATGTATCTGAAATCATATTAAATTACAAACCAACTCTATCTTGAGTGAAAGACCTCAAACGCCAAGTTCATAAATTACTTTCCATGCTACATAACCAAGAATAAGGGCTCACTAATAAGGCGGGGTGACCATAATGTCTCCCTTGGTCTCTCAAGGAAACAAATTCACTAAACAGTAAGGTCAATTTTATTTATCTGGGTTATCATTACTATATTATTATCCTTCTTATTATAAAACATTTGCTTTCTAATTCACTTTGAATCAATTTGCTTACCTATTTTTCCAGAGAGTAAAAATAATCCTCTCATTTTAAACATCAAATTTATGAAATCTCAAAACTGATCATGATAAAATAATTTGAGGGTTCATCCTGGAAGTGGAAAGTAATTTAATTAAGAGCACATGCTATTTAGCTAAAACTATCTAGAGATGTCTACCAAATACTAACGTCTTTAAACATGAGGCCATTTATAAATTTTGGATACATACAGTTGGAAAGCGTTTTTAAAATATATTATTCTATTCAGTAGATTGTGAGAGCTTTGTCCATCTACCCAGCCACCCATTTATGGGCCCAAGATATCCTCTAAAGAGAAAGATGGAGTGAGTGTGTGAGAATAAGTTAGTATTATTTAATTTTCTTTTCCTGGAAAGGAAAGATGAAACCTTCCTAAGATAGGACAACTGGCTGATGGTGTCAGAAACATTAGATTCCCTCTGTGAGGGAGGAAAAGAGAGTAATATTCCAGAAAAATGACCTTTGATTAAATAATTTTTTAAGGATGACAGAAGGGGAAAGATATGAAAATTAAAAGCAATTAAAACAAGTTCTGACCACAAACATCTATTGAAACAGGAACATCCCAAAATGCAATGACAAATAGAGAATGCTCACCTGTCTGATTCTGGCAGTGAACAGGAGAGAATGAAATATCATCCAGGGCAACATAACCTCCCTTGGGACCATTGAAAGCAACTTCAAAAATAACCTGCAGAGGAAAATGGCATGCTGTCACATGTTCACATATTTTCGGTTTGGCTTAAGTGCTCTTAATGATTTAAAATGACATGTCAATCAAACCAGATGAAGCCAAGTTACAAGGACTCATGGAATCAGATTTCCAAATATGAGTTTGGGCAGCACCCTCCTCAACCTACAGTCTCTTTTTGGGAGAATGAAACTGCTATGATCTGAGTGTCTGTGGGACACTCACAAATTCTCAAAAGTCATACGTTGACATATGAACCCCTAAGGGAATGGTAATAGAAGGTGGGGCTTTTTGGGAGGTGATTAGGTTTTGGAATGGGATTGGTACCCTTATAAGTGAGGTCCAAGGGAGCTCATTTGCCCCTTCTGGAATTTGCGGACACAATGAGTAGGTGCCATATGGACCAGGAAACAGGCCCTCAGCAGACGCCAGATCTGCCAATACTTTGATCTAGGACTTCCCAGACTTCAGGACTGTAAGAAATACATTTCTGTTGTTTATAAATTACCTAGTTTATGGTATTTTGTTATAGCAGCCTGAATGAACCAAGACAGAGTCTCTAAAGTTGCCTTTTATTGATGGATATGCCCCTCTTCCTTGAATGTCAGCTGAAGTGCCTATGTCATTTCTGCTAGAACTACAGAACTAATTAGCATTATGAACTTCAATTAAAGGAAAAATCAGCTAAGAAAGTAGGCCAGGTTTTTTTTTGTTTTTTTGTTTTGTTTTGTTTTGTTTTGTTTTTTTACCTCCCTGCCATCCCTCAGGAGCAAACACCCTCTAAGTTCCTTTACTTCTTCCTATATGAACTCTACATCAAGGCCTGGACAAAGATGCAGCAGTCAGAGGTGAGAACCCCGATCTCAGCATGTCCAGGTATGTTCCAATGGTTAGAAAGAACATGGGCCAATGACTTCAACCCCTTTAGTTTTGCTTTCTTCTCTACCAGCAACTTTAACTGTGAGCTCAGTCAACCACCTTCTGCCTGTGACCATGGGGGAATCAGATGTCAGCACAGCCTTCACCTGTGCTGGAAAAACCACCCAGGTATGCATTCCTCTTGTGTGAGTTAATAACCTGAGAAGACGCAGCATGGAACAGGGCTTGAAACTTCAGTGCCTACAAAGTCCAGGCAAGTAGTAGAAATGCAGAAGTGGGCTTGGTATGGTGCAGCCTCTTGTGAAATAGAGACAGAAACCCTGTCTAAAAGGGCAGCTGTCACTCAGCCTCATCAATTGCTGATATGTGGGAAGTCAGGCCTGTTATGGGTTGACCTGCGTCCCCCTGCATCCCTCACACACAATTCCTGTGTTGAAGTGCCAACCTCTAGTATCTCAGTATGTGACCTTATTTGGGAATAGGGTCACCGCAAATGTAATTAGTTAAGATAAGGTCATGCTGAAGTAGAGTGAGCCTCTAATTTAAACGACTGGTGTCCTTATAAAAAGGAGAAATTTGGATGCAGACACTCTCACACACACACACACACACACACACACACACACACACAGAATGCCATGTGAAAATGAAGGCAGAGAGCTACAAGCCAAGGAATGCCAAAGATTGCCAGCACACCACCAGAAATGGGAGAGAGGCATAGGGCAGATTTTCTCTCATGGCCCTCAGAAGGAACAAGCCCTGCCAGCACCTTGATCATGAACTTCTGGCCTCCAGAACAATGACATACAAAATTTCTGTTTCTTAAGCGACCTGTTTTGTGCTACTTTGTTATGGGCAGTCCTAGCAAACAAATACGAGGCCTAATGTCTCTGTATCTAGCAAATTATCAAGAGGATCTGACTCTAGATTTTATCTGAAATCTTTGAGTTTGTCAATGCTGGCAATTAATTAAAAAATTAAAACAAAAATAAAATGAAAAACCCCACTCCACAGCCAGACAGATCACCACTGTGGACTAGATTTGACCTCTAGGCTTCTAGTTTGCAGCTTCTTCTGAATAGAATAGTTTCTTGGAAGCAGACAGACCAGAGTTCAAATCCCATTTTCATCACTTATTAGCTAGGTGGGCCTGGATATATCACTGTATTAGTCTGTTTCAATGCTGCTGATAAAGACATACCGAGACTGGGTAATTTATACTGGAAAAAGAGTTTAATGGACTTACAGTTCCATGTGGCTGGGGAGGCCTCACAATCATGGCAGAAGGCAAAGAGGAGCAAGTCACATCTTATGTGGATGGAAGCAGGCAAAGAGAAGAGAAGAGAGCTTGTGCAGGGAAACTCATCCTTATAAAACTGTCAGATCTTATGAGACTTATTCACTATCACGAGAAAGGCATGAGAAAGAACTGCCCCCATAATTTAATTACCTCCCACTGGGTCCCTCCTACAACACGTGGGAATTCAAGATGAGATTTTGGTGGGGACACAGCCAAACCATATCAATCAGTTAACCTCCCAGGGTCTCAGTTTTCTTATCTATAAAACACCTGTCTTGTAGGACTGTTGAGGAGATTAAATGAGATAATGTATACAAATATCCGAGCACAGAGTCAGGCACATAACAAGCTCTGAACTAATTTTCTATCTTTTTCTGAAGGTTGGTTGGCCGCAGTGGTTCATGCCTGTAATTCCAGCACTTTGAGAGCCTGAGGTGGGCGGATCATTTGAGCTCAGGAGTTTGAGACCAGCCTGGGCAACATGGCGAAACCTCATCTTTACAAAAAATACAAAAATTAGCTGGGTGTGGTGGCACATGCCTGTAGTCCCAACTACTTGGGAGGCTGAGGTGAGAGGACTGCTTGAACCTGGGAGGCAGAGGTTGCAGTGAGCCAAGATCACTCCACTGCACTCCAGCCTGGGTGACAGAGTGAGACCCTGTTTCAAAAATAATTTTTTTTTTTTCTGCAGGTTGACTCCCTCTTGAACTTCTATTCAGGTTCCAGCCTAGCTAGCCACTAATTAGCTTGAGCAGGCCCATTCTTCTCCAGCCCTCGGTTTCTTCATTTTTTGAAAAGAAAAAGAGTTTGGACAAAATAGTTCTTAAAGTACCTTTCACCTTAACAGTAATGGTCCCATAAGGACCTGGTACCTAAACTCTCCAAAATCCACGGGGAAGCCTAGAAGTTTGTCTTTGCCAAGGGGGAAGGGCTATGAATGAAGGAAAAGATGTGGACTTATGAGAAGGGGGCAAATTAACATTACAAACTTAACACAGGTCCATGACATTTAGCTCTCAAGGCACTAGCTGGTAAAGAAAGTGAATGGCAAAATTTACACTGAGCCGGTGGGGAAAGAATGCTATTCCTGATCAGCATGTGCTAATCACAGCCTCTGTGCCAATGTGTTCTCTTGTTCAGACAGTCTCCAATGTTTGTTTTCCTTCTCAAAATTCACTTGAGAATGTGATGACATTAAACTCACTGATTTCTTCAGGACAACTTTCTTTTCCTGATGAGTGAGAGCAAATAACACCAGTGAATAGTTCAGACTAGTAGAGCAAAATCACATGTGTTGACCCAAAGGATGTGTATTGAGGTTTAGTAGTGTCCAGAGTTGTAACTTTTCAAGTATTGATTTTTAAAAATTCAGCAACATTTGATTCAGACAAATGTTGCCCAAGGAGTTTATGGTTGGATGGAAGGAGTTGGTAAAGAGAACGCTGTCAGTGTGTGTGTGGGACTCATCTGACTTTGACGGGAAACTTTTGAAGCAGTACATGCATTTCTTTTCCTCCTCGTAACCCAAACTCACAGAAAATTTTCCACTGGGCTGCAAGAACAAATCGAGACCTGGTTGGACTTTGGGATAGGAAATAGCACACATTCTGCAAGAGACACTGTGCTCTCTCTAGAGTGTTTTTTTTTTGTGGGGGGAGGTAGGGAGGTAAATAGGAAGGGGGTGTGGGGAGAGGCAGGCACGCCATCAGTAGATGAAACACATCAGAAACTAAGACCTAACCCTGTTCTCTGCAGCTCTACATCAGGCTAGCAGATGGCACCACCGAAACCCATCCAGAGGAATAATCTGTTTCTCTGGCACTTTAAAGGGAACTGGAGAAGATATTGCAAAAAGCACAAAGTGAAAAGTGGAGGATATTAATAACTTGGGGTAACCAAGACTCTACTTATAGCTCCAAATCTTTATAGCAATCTTATAGCAACCATATTGCTGCACCCACTGATTCTAGAGGTCCTAAGGGGTCCTCAGACAGAGCTGGGCCTCCTTCCTCAGCTTTCGGTCAGATTTTAGTCCACGAACTTAGTTACGGAGTTCTCTGGCATTCACCAGCTGTGTGACCTAGAAAAAAATGTCCAATTTCTTGGACACTCTGTTTTCTTCCTTCTTGTGTGTAAATACGGAGATAATTTTATCTACTTGGCTGGATAGTCAGTACTGAAAGTACTTGTAGCTTCTGAAATACATACATAGATACAGACATGTATTCATGTACGGGCTTAGAAAAAGGTCGAAAAGATAGTAGAACTTTAATGTTAGTAGTCCTCCCCTTTGTGAAGTTGGCTGAGGGCATTTTAATTCATTTCATTTCTCTGAATTTTCTAATTCTTCTGCATTGAACACGTCACTTATATAACTGGAAAAAGTTTTAAAATGAAGGCATCAAGCCTTGTTTCAAACTAGGGCCATAATAGCAAGTTTGTTTCTGATTTTACGACATTATTTATGCTGCAAAAAAAGAAATGAGTCACTTTTTCTAAAAAAAAAAAAAAAACAGTTCACTCAAGTAAGGAAAACCTTCAAAACTGCTCTCAGGAAGGGTAGCTCAAGACTGAGTTTTACTTGGAGGGTTCTGATCTCCTCTTTTGAACCCTCTGTGACCACAGTGCAAGGTTCAGAAGGAGAGGGTCGCCAAGAAGTCTAGTTGGTTAACTGGCTTTAGCCATATTTGTTCTCATAAAAATGACTCTTGCTAGGAAATGAAGGTGATAAAGGAGGCAGGCAAAGGGGACACAGAGGAAGGGAGAGCAGGAGAGGGGCTGAGGATGAGAAAGAATACAGTTGAGGCACAGCAGAAAAGACAGACTGAGTGTGAGGCTGCACAGCCTCTCCATCTCCAGCCCTGTGTGTGGGTGGCATGTCTAAAGAGTGCCAGTGAACAGCTGGTGCGCACCAGTACACCTACCTCCATGGGGTAAGGAGCACTGAACTCGACCTCCGCAAGGTTCCAGGCAGCATTCCCTGGCCTGTCTGCTTTCCAGATTTCCTCGTAAAGGCCAGCCACATCCCGAGTGTAAAGGGAAAAGACATTGTCATTCCCCTGCTGGATCTGGTAATAAAATGACAGGCAGCCAGCCATGGGGGCCGTGGTCAACGGGGAGATGAGCTGTGCCACCTCCTGGAAGTGCTTCACATAAACTGAGTCCACGTACATGTAGTGGCCTGAAAATCACACAGACAGAGCACAGTGTTAAGAGTTGGGGGTGGGGGAGGGGAAGAGGTTCAGGCGAAATGGTGTGATTCTGCATTCTAAATAATCCAGTGGGAATGGTGAGGAGGAAGTGGATGAGTTACAGCTGACAGAGGTTTGGCCATGAGTGGATGGAGAAATGTTGCAGCTGAGAGATGGGTCCATGGGGTTCATTGCACTCTGCTAAATACAGGATGAGACCATTCCTTTTACTTTCCTTACTTTTGATTCAAGTAAAATATACACAGAGAAAGGTAGATGTGTCATCTGTCAAGTGCTTAAGTTTTCACAAGCTGAACACACCCATGGAGAGAAATAGAACATTACCTGAGAAGCCACTCCCTCCCAATCCTTATTTGAGTCATAAGACTCTGAAGAGCACACAAAGACAAAGCTTACCATCTATTCTTAAAAGGGCATGGAGAGACCCTCCTGCACATGTTTACAATTAATGCAAGATGTCACCATGTGTTTTTTGAGTGAAACTAAGATTTTGAATTCCAACTATATGGCAATTTGTGTGTTGTTAATAGCATGCAAGTCAATCGACACTGAAATTTGGAGGAGTGAATGTGTGGTACCACTCTTGGCAGGTCTTTGTGGGCTCTGGACCCAGAGGCTGGCCTCCATTAGGGGCATCTTGGTGAAACACAGAAACCATGTGGCAGAATGGAGACAGCCTTGACTTAGCATTGAAGAGAAATGAGGTTGAATCCTGCTCCACTTCTTACTAGCCCTGTGACCTTGAACAAGTTTCTGAGTATGTCTGGGTCTCAATTTCCTGATCTCTAGAATGACAATCAAATACTTTCCTCATAGAGGCAATGAATATTACATGGAGTCATGTATGTAAAGTGCTTAGCGTGTGCCTGGTACATTGTAGCTGTCTAACAATTACAACGCCATTCACAATTCTAGAACCATGCTTGCCCTATAGCCTGTTTTGTATAAAGGGTAAGCTATCATTGTTAGCAATTTTTTCTGAATTCATTTGAGTGATGACAAAGAAGTGCTATTCAATGCAGCTTCAACAGAATGCCCTTTCTGTTTACAAGCTCAGAATAATTACAGCTTAATATCTTCATTTCCATGACATAATTTCTGGTTAATAAGAATTCCTGGCCAGGTGCAGTGACTCATGCCTGTAATCCCAACACTTTGGGAGGCTGAGGCGGGAGCATTGCTTGAGGCCAGGAACTTGAGACCAGCCTGGGCAACATAGTGAGACCCCTGTCTCTACAGAAAAGCTTTCTTAAAATTAGCTGGGCATGGTAGCATGCACCTCTGGTCTTAGCTATTAGGGAGGCTGAGGCAGGAGAATCACTTGAGCCTATGAGTTCAAGGTTGCAGTAAGCTATGATCACACCACTGTACTCCAGCCTGGGTGATAAGCAAGACCCTGTCTCCAAAAAATAAAATAAGGAAATAAAGAATACCTTTTCTCCATTATGAAGAGCAGAGCAGAAACAAATATTAGGAGGAGCATATGCATTTATACACTGGACATTTACTGTGTATCTAGTACATAGCCCGGTATGTGGTGGGCTCTCAACACATGGTTATTTAATGTACAGACATGGTCTCAGAAAGGTCCTCATCTCAACATGGCAGAAGGGAAAAATGGACAGGTCAAAGCTCACTTTCTCCTGGTGGCAAGTTGTTCAACATCCTGAATCCCCTGAATAATCTTCTTTGAATATAGTTTACCTTATCGTTTTGCCAAACCACACAACAGTGAATAAACAGAGATTACAAACTCAAATTCTCAGAGGAGGCAGCCAGATTAAGTGTATGAGTGAAGTTGATTGAGTCAGGGAGAAAATAGAGAGTGGTAAATTAGTAGCCAGTATTTGAAATCATATTTCCCCCACATCGAGAAACAGAAATCAAGCTTATCTGGAAAAATAAAAACATCTGATAGTCCTAGGCCCATATTCTTATGCGGCAATAACCGGCTTGGGGTGAGAAGCCTGGCCCCTCACCCCCATGTTCTCCAGCCTCCCTGAGAGAGCAGGGTCTACTGCAGCGGATGCCCGGCACCCAGCCCCATGCTGCAGGCTTTCCCCATCCTAGCCTGGAATTCAGGTTTTCACGGCAAATCTATCCATTTTTAAGGGATGCTTCCTGTGTGGTTTGCTAGGGCTGCTGTCACAAAATACTGCAAAGTGGGAGGCTTCAGCAACACACATGTATTGCCTCACAGTTCTGGAGTCCAGAAGTCAAGGATCAAGGTGTCAGCAGGGATTGTTCCTTCTCAGGGCCGTGAGGGAAGGATTTGTTCTGGGCCTCTCTCCCGGCTTCTGGTGGTGTGCTGGCAATCTTTGGCATTCCTTGGCTTGAAGGCCTCTGCCTTTATCTTTACATGGCATTCTCCCTGTGTACATTTCTCTCTGTGCCCAAAGTTCCCCTTTTAATAAGGACTGCGGTCATATTGGATTGGAGGCCCACCCTACTCCAGCATGACCTCATCTTAGCTAATGACCTCTGCACCCATCTATGTCCAAGCAAGGTCACATTCTAAGTCCTGGGGGTTAGGACTTCAACATTTGAATTTTGACTGTGCACAATTCAACGCCTAACACTCCCCACCATATTTTTTTAAACTTTGTATGCGCCAAATAAACATATCTGCAGGCTGGAAACCACTGTTGGCTCCACTTTGCCACCTCTGGGCAGGAATTTTAAAGGAAGAATCGGAATGACAGACTGGATAGAATCAAAGAACCTCTGATATGGAGGGAAGGTCACTCCTCCATATCCCAAGCTTGGAAACCCTCTAAAGCACTCCTGGTGGCCAGCAAGCCTTGACGAGAACATTCTAGTAGTGGAGAATGCCTATGACCAGTTAGCTTCTGTAATCTGCTTCTGTTCTCTAAGAACTCATGTGAATATCAAAGACAGAGATGAAGTCTTCATTGCTCTTTGTAACATGACTTACCAATGAAACAGAATCTTTTTGTGAGATATGAGCAGGGAGAACTGAGTGGAGGAGAGCTACAATTCTTTGTATTATAATGTATGTGTAATACTTTGTTTCCTGGATACCTAATTGCAGGGGCCACAGAGATCCCCTTTAAGAGAACTTGCTGAAGGAACCATCATTGACTGGGTCTCCAGCCACCTCACCTTTGGACCTGCAGGAGAGTTTGTACCAAGACCACACCACTCTGGGCTGCTCCCAGGCAGTGACCAAGCATAGCAGAGGGGCAGGCCATTCTGTCTGCCATGGGGCCCTTCAGCAGCTCCCATCGGCCCAGGTTCTCCTCTTCCTCAGGGGTCAGGTTTGCGTCCTGAGCTGAAAGTTTTCCCTACCCAGGGCATCTTTATGACTTTTGTGGGCTCATTCCTCCATAAAAAAAATAAAAATAAATAAAATAATCTTAACATTTTAGTTTATTACTACATTGGCATAAAGAGGTATATGATGTAGGCTAGAAATTATTATATTCATTTTACCCTTCCAATTTTCAAATAAATAAAATTAAAATATTGTCATGGACCCCTAAAAATGCCATGGCTCCTAGGCACTATGGCTGCTGTGCCCCATAAGGACACTGGGCCTGTCCCCAGCTACTCTGGCTCCTTTCTCCTCAGAGCCTTCATAGCCATCTCTCCCAGGAAATCTCTTTCCCACCTAGTCCCAGCTTAGTGTCAGCTTCCACAGCCAGCCTTGTTGTAAATTCATCTTCCTTGCAGATGACGGACATCTGAGAGTTGTCTTTAAAGGGTAGTAACTCACCTGCTGTGTGGACAATATTTTGTGCATTTGCAGCCAAAGTGCCTCACTAGCAACTTGTGCTCAGGATGCTAGGCCAAGTGAACCACAGTCACATTTCTGATCCAAAAAGCATCCAGAAAACACAACATGATCTGCCCAAAGTGAGTCAGAGAGGCTGCTGGGAATAAGACCAAGACTGCTGACACTAAGTCTCATACAGAACCACCAGACTAGACCGCATGCTCTTGTACCCTTTTTCTTTCCATCATTCATTTGTTGCCAAAGCTGGGTTCTATTTACTGACAATTTGAGCAACATTAAGCTTCTCATTGGGGAACAAAAGGTAGCTCATCATGAGTTTACTATCTCAGTTGAACTGTTAGGGGTGATTCAGAAATTGTCATTCAGGTGTCTGCCCCAGGAGAAGAGGCTGGAGGAATGACAGCCAAACCAGGCTGAGTGTGTCATCAGATACAATCTGTTCTGAGGAAGAGGAGTCAATGGGTAGGTGGCTGCAGGTGCCATTGTATTCTCCTTTCTAAAAACAATGATGGTAGCCTGGAGTTCTTGGAAAATTTTGTCCAGTGTCTGATATTAGGAGAATCTTCCTGCCTAGTTCAATGAACCCAACACTCCTATCTGGCATAGGGCTCTAGAGCTTCCAGAACCTCTGGAAAAGGCTTTTTTTTTTTTTTCCTTTGTCAGATCGTTAAGATTCAAGTAGGATGAAACTAGGTATAGATGGACTTTAAGTAGACAGAATCCTTTAATCTGCCAAATCACTGGATACCCTGCAGGCCACAGAGATTCTAAAGTATTACAACTTGAACTGAAAACGAAAGAGGTTATATGGGGGAAATGGGTTCCCCCATAAGATTAAGAATTGAGAAGCTTATTGCCATTCCTCTACAATCTGTTCTGCTTTGCCATACACAGAGTGAAAATCAATCTATTATTACCTAATTCTGGATTATACACAAAGAGCCTGAGGTTTCTAGGCAAAAAAAAAATTCAAATTCAGTTGAAAGAAAGATCACAGTTCTCAGTCATGCTGCCAGTGCTCAGGCCCCTTCTGGGATGGAGCCTGCAGTGCTGGTGTATGCACACTTGCTCCTGAAGAGGCTGTCTGTTCCTTTCTTGCAGCAGCCCTCTGTATTAGCTGAACTTTTCATGTGGAACCAGTGGCCCCTGGTAGTCAGCCATTTCCCCTTGCATTAGGGAAAGAACTTTAAAGGCGGTTCCTGAATGTTTATTTTCAAGCAGTCTGGCTCACCAGCATTCCCCTAAGACTGCCCTTGGCTTGGCCGCGGTGCCAGAGGCATCCTCTGACTCAGCTGTGATGCGCCCTGCTGGCCACATTTGCACTCCAGTTGTGTTGTCTGCTCCAGTGTTGCTGGTTGTCTGGACAAGCTGTCTCCCCAGTAGGGCAGACAACCTGGTCTGAAGAGATGTATGCCAGAGGGAAATACCCACTGGTCTGCTGCCATGGTGAGCAGACGGCACCCAAAGATAATGAGTTATGATGCATGTTTTTCCACCCTATGAGTCTGACAGTTATCTTCACAAGCCTTTAGTTGTAAGGGTTTTGGTGGCCCTTACTATGATAAAGTCAGACTCTAGTCTTTTTATACAGCTTTCAAGGATGACGTAAGCATGAATGAATATTACGTGAGACTTCTCCTATCTGTGCTAAGACCTCAAAGCCCCAAACAATAAGTGACAACAACCTCTATTTTCTAAAGAGTGGTGCTAGACTGTCAATATGTTAAGTGGCAGCCCCTGGCACCTACCCCAGCTCTACAAGTGTTAGCCCATCTCTCCCTTGTAGCCTGTGCATATGAGAAGGCTCGAGATGAATCAGAGAGATTGGAGATGGGGTTTCTATAAAGAGTTGGGTTAGAGCTGCCCTGCTATGTGTTTCCTTTTGACCTCTCCAGGGAAGGCAAGGGGATTGCTTCCCTTTTCTTACCTTGATCTAAAGGAGGGGGCTTAAGCGAACCACTCATGGAAGAGGTAGAGGAAGGAAACTGCCATGTAACCTCATCCCCTCCCTTTTGAGCAGAAATTTCTGAGCTCTGCAGTTGCTCTGGACCTTGAGATGAAAGTAATCAGAGTTCTTGAAAAAGGTTGATCAGTGATACTGGAGTGTGTGTGTGTGATGCAGAGATGGAGCCTGGCACTGGTGCATACATCTAAAGGCAAAAAACTGACTATAGGGACCCGTAGGGGAAGAGTAGAGAAAAAGGAGTTTGTTGCCAGTGAAATGCACTTCCAGAGTTTGAGGGGGCAATTTAGAAGGCAGCTGGGCTACAGTACCTTAAAAGGACTCTTCTCAAGAGAACTGCCTACCAGTGCGGTAATTCCATTAGAAGGGAGCTGGTAGGGCATACCGTGACTTATATGAGCTAAGCAGGATTCACAGATGGTCAGCCAGAGAGTTGCTCATCCCTGTCTGTCAACACTAAAGTGGGATCCCCCATTGGCCATGACAGGAATGCCAGAATTTGGCCATGTGCTGTATGAAGGTCATCAACTCTAGATTAAATAGCAAGAGGCAAGTGAAACCTTTTGTCCCTAGCCTTTGCCTTTCTGTTCCATCCCCACCCTGCCCATTGCCTCCCAACTCTGAAGCAGCCAGAAGCAGTACAGTAAGAGGGAGAAGTAGGGAAGAAAAAGGTGAAGTATGAAGAGACAAAGCACAAACCTTTCTCTCTACTGCTGTTGTGTGGCCCAGTCTCTGGGAAGATCTGAACTAGATGAGACATTGCAGTTGTGACTTGACTGCATCTAATCCTTGAAAATGAAGGTGTTTATTAATACCTGAAAGTAACTGGAAAGCCACAGTAAGTCATCCAAGGGCAGAGAAAGGAAATCCAGCAGACCTTGCACAAAGAAAATGGTAAGAAAATTAAGAAAGCTGCTTCCCTACCGAGTACTTACACCACGCACCAAATGGATCAATGCAGAGAGTAAATAAATAAGTCCTGTTAAAATGACTCTTGCTCATTCCAAACTGAAATGAGAAAAGAGTGTCACGAGTCATGGAGAGATGATCCAACCATCTCATGATGTTTGATGGAATTAAATAACTCTAACCTTATTTTAGATTTTGAAACCTTGTCCAGCTTCTTCCATAATAGCACCACAAGCAGGCTTGGTTTTTTAAATCTTAGCAAAGAGATGCATCCCTCATTATTTTTCCAGCAATCATCTTTTTTTTTTTTTTTGCTAAGGTATGTAGAAAACAGTAATGATCTGAGCTGTCAGTAGGTTACCTCCTGAAAGATTTTGTTTCACTTCATAAAATATGAATAAAGAAAGAAACCCATATGTGATGAATCAGAATTAAGAAAATACAGGATAAAAATCACATCCCCTCCAGTATTCCAAAGATGTCCTATCACAATTCTTACTACATTATTTTAGTCATTTCCATCATCAGACACTAATTTGGGGGAACAATGCTCATTAAAAACCTTGACTCAATGTTTGGGGCAGATTGTTAGGAACATACAAGGAAATGAAGGAAAACTCATATCACATTGTAGTTTTCAGAAATTACATTCACTCTTTGCTTTTCTACAACACAAAGACTAGCACTCTCCTGGGAAGACTTCCCTCAACCTTCTCTGCAGTTCTGAAATTCCTAAGTAGACAATGAGCTTCCCTTCTACGTGCTGTTTCTCCAGTTTTTACCTGAAAGCAAAGGCAAAAGCTGCGTCCGGTATATGAATGAACACAAGATGAACTCACATAGAGCAAAATCTGCTGTTGCGGGCAGACATCTGAACCATTTAATCTTTACTTTGCCACCCAAATTGATAGAACTCCGGGGAAATCAATATATGCGGTAGAAAGCAAATATGATAAGAGAGGGAACCTCTTTCCTTTTTAGAGCATTGGAGGGTTTATTTTGTTTTGTTTTAAAGAATGATACGGATCAAATCTTTGAGTCCTATGGGCAGAGCTTTTCAAATAAAATATTTTAGAGTCTTTTGAACTCATCATTTTTGGCCCTATCCTCTATAGGGGAAAGACTTACAGAGGACTCCAGGCATGAGGACTGTGTGTGTGTGTGTGTGTGTGTGTGTGTGTGTGTGTGTGTGTGTGTGTGTTGAGTGGGGATGTTGGCTAATGAATGGACAAAATATTAGTCCAAAGGTTGAAGAGAACTTGGAGTGAAATAGCAGGAAAGAGTGGAATGCAGGCAGTCAGGCTTCCTGCTAATCATAAGTAGGAATGTAGCCTGGAACTCAGGGGTTCCTCTGCCATGATCACATACCTTGGGATTCTCAAATGCTCTCCAAATATAAAATAAACCATCCACTCTCATGCCTCTACACTTTTGCACATGCTACATTTGTCTCCCCCTTATGCATCTGGCCAAATTCCAGTTCTACTATTACTTCCTTAAGAGGGCCTTCTCTGTACCCCAAAACCAAGGTAATCTTTTGTCTGTGGTTTCATATCATTTATTTCATACCTCTATTAGTCATACATTACTGTGCATGCTTGCAAGTTTATGTAGCATTTTGGTATTCAGATAATCTGAGAAATGCCATAATGTACATGAGCACAGAACTATATTACAGGTGGTGAGAAATCCTGAAATAAAGAAATCTGTTTAGCTTTCTTTAATGCAGAGTTTCCCCAGTTTATTTGACCACATATCACCTTTGTGTCCCATACAAGGATTAGTTTACTAAAAACTGGTATTATAGGGAAGGACATTTTGGGAAAAGTTGGTTCCTGTAAACTCTTTGAGGTTAATGACTGTTTTTTTTTTTAAAGCATCATTTTTTTAAAATTATACTTTAAATTCTGGGATACATGTGCAGACTGTGCAGGTTTGTTACATAGATATACATGTGCCATGGTGGTTTGCTGCACCCATCAACCCATCATCTACATTAGGTATTTCTTCTAATGCTATCTCCATCCCCTGACAGACCCTGGTGTGTGATGTTTCCCTCCCTGTGTCCATGTGTTCTCATTGTTCAGCTCCCACTTATGAGTGAGAATGTGTGGTGTTTTTCTGTTCCTGTGTTAGTTTGCTGAGAATGATGGTTTCCAGTTTCATCCATGTCCCTGCAAAGGACATGAACTCATCCTTCTTTATAGCTGCATAGTATTCCATGGTGTATATGTGCCATATTTTCTCTATCCAGAATGACTTTTTTTATGTCACCAGGGTATGCAAGAATGTAAATATAAATACATGTAAAAAGTGCTTATTATGTGTTTGTTGAATGAGTGAAGGAATGAATAATGATCAATGAAGAAGCGTCATTCTGGTGTTGAGGCTCTGACTGGACTTACTATATAATCCCCTGGATGGCTGGAAGGTGCGTAGTCTTCTTAGACTTCCTCCCTTCAGCCCTCAGGTCAGCTTCTTTTTCAGCCCACAGTATTGACATATGGGGACTAAGCAATGCTAGTAGGAAAAGCTGCCTGCCTTGGGGAAGTATTCTAGAATAGCCAAGGAAGAAGAGGAAGAATGGGAAAATAGAGAGAGGGAGATGGGAGGGGAAGAGGGAAGAGAGGCAAGTACTTATGTCAGGGGTGACAGCACCCTACCAGCAAGTCTTAGTGCTTCTCAAGGATGACCACACCACTATGCTTACGTCTTGACCCTTCTGGTCAAGACATTAGAAAATCCAGGGCCTCTTTTTCTCACCCCTTGGTCCCTTTAGTCCTCTTTTTTTTTTTTTTTTTCTAATGCCAAATGCTATGTGCTTATAAGTATCCAGGAGGGACTCAAGCCATTTTGAAATAGATCTCACTGAATGGTGAACTTGGAGATTTTGGTAAATAGCATTAGGCAAGGAGAGAAAAGTAAAATATTGGAACTCAAACGCATCTTAGAGATCATTGAATTCAAATTGCTCATTTGCAGATGCATCAATGGAGACACTAAGAAATTAAGGGTTTAGTCAAGGTAATAAAGTACTCTGATAACTGGGCCTGGAGCACAAGTATTTGGACTCCTAGCCTGGGGCTCTTTCTCTATCCCTAGGGACACAAATATAGTCAGAATATTCTATGATTCAGATGGGCATGAGGAAGGACTAGGAGAATTACACTCTTCAAAGGATGAATTGCACTCAGGTAACACAAGCAAATGGATGATTTGACACTAGTCCACTGCTCTGTTGCCTCTTCCAAGAAATATATGTTCTCCCCAGCCAGCTACCTCTTGCCATCGAGGATGAAAAATGAAACACTGAATAATCACTGAATCATAACATTGGTTACCCACAGGGTTTGACTTTGGAACGAATTTTTAAATGATTTGGGAAAAGTTCTTTAACACTTCCCCATTGTTAAATTTGCCTCTCTGTGCAACTGTGATAATGACACAAGAAATAATCGTCATTTTGATGCATCAGCCTTTCAAGATCCTTTCTGTTCCTTGTATTAGATTCTTAAGATATGACAGAAAAACAATCGCAAAACTAGCCTATTGTCACACATGAAGAAAAAGTCATCTGGCTTTTCTTTCCTGAAACCCCAAGAGATTGTTAGTTGCTTTACTCATTTACATAAAGCTCTCCAGAGTTAGTGACATTTTATTATTTTGAGTTAACCCAACTGTCTTTTAAAATACTCATGCAGATTCATGGATTACTTTGCCATGACTGGTTATCATTCACTCTACACAGAGCACTTATTTATAGTGTGGTTCCTACAAAGGGCCCCAAATGAGGACGGGCCACTTATTTATAAGGTAAAAATATGGGCTATCCGTAGAAAAACTCCAATCCTTTGTCACTGTCAAAAGTGCTAAACAGCACTTTGGGAGGCCGAGGCAGGCGGATCACCTAAGGTCAGGAGTTCGAGACCAGCCTGGCCAACATGGGGAAACCCCATCTTTACTAAAAATACAAAAATTAGCTGGACAAAGTGGTGGGTGTCTGTAATCCCAGCTACTTGGGAGGCTGAGGCAGGGAGAATTGCTTGAACCTGGGAGGTGGAGGTTGCACTGAGCTGAGATTGCACCACTGCACTCCAGCCTGTGCAACAGAGCAAGACTCTGTCTCAAAAAAGAAAAAAAAAAGGGCTGAAACTTGCTTTGCTTTTAAAGGTAGGAAGTACATAAACATGCTTTTTTTTTTGTCTTATCTCAATTTCTTATGTAAGTGACCCCAGATGCATCTGAAGAAACAGTTTCTGGGGGATTCTTCTGTACTCTTGCTCCACCTTTTTACTCTCCATCTATTGAAATAATCTCTGTCATGTTAATCCATCTAAATACACTGCTGTGATGGTGTCTCTCCCCTGCCCAAACACCTGTGTGGCCTCCCATTGTCAATGAAATAAAGTTAAAATCTCTTTCCTGGCATTCCAGGCATTTTAGAATTTGCCCCTGCACTGCTTTCTCAGCCACATCTCTCCCACCATCCACCCCTTGTAGCACAACCACTGTATCATTGCTCTTAGCTTTTTCTCATCTTTGTCAAAATCATACCCATCCCCGAAATACAGTTTACTTCTTTTATCATGTCTTCTAGGACATCCAAGCAGTGAGGGACCTCTTTTGTCTCTGAATTCCCAACACCTTTCTTTTTTGATGGAGGAAGGAGACCACTCTTATTGCACTTGACACATACCACCCTTTGTTAACATCCATTTGTGGTAGAAATCCCTTTTCCTTTCTTGAAAGCGTCTTCCTTGAAGCTGGGAAGGGGCCATAGAGGATCTGTCATTTTAACTGTCATTTACCCCATCATATCTAATGCTGGGTCAAATTAATGAAAATGCTAGATTTAAAGTTGCGTTTGTTTTAAACAGGCAACTCCATGAGACTCCAGTCTTTTTATTTGTGGTTACTTATAAAGAGCTTATTCTAAGAAGCCTGAATGTATTGTAAAAGAAACTTGTCAAATGAAGGTTGCAAAATAGAAGTTGGCCAACAGGGCCTGACCGGCAAGTGTGTTTTATTGGCCCACACTGTGATTTTAGAAAATATTCACCAACTTTTAAAAATTTGGGAAATTTCACACACACAAAAAAATCCCCTGCCTTCCTAATGATCTTGAAACATCAAAAGATCTGGCAACCCGGGCTTACATTCTCACACAGCAGCAACTCATTGGAGCCAAGTAACCTTTGCACAGGGTCTCTGCCATCTAGTTTGCCGCAGTCCTCACCCAGCCCACATGTCATTTGCTTATACTGTCTGCCTGGCTGTTACAGGGAATTGAACCTGAGACTCTGGATATAAAGGAGAAGTTAGAATAGGAGCAAAGAGAACAGTAAGGTTAGGATGAAGACTGTCCAGAGTCAAGATAAGCTGAAGGATGAGCACTTTTGAAAAAAAGAGTTGGAGACATGGTTAAATATATTCAGATGAAGAGAAGCAATACTGAATGAAGAAAAATGGTAAGAACCATAAAAGGTCATTATGTCTTCAGGCATGGGGACACACTGTCACCATCAACAAATTATTAGGATGAGTATATTACCTCAATATCTATGCGTAAAGGATCAAAAGAGAAAAAGTTAACTGTTTGCAACAGAATAAAAATTCCTGTTCTTGTTCTTGTTGAAAGGCCAGCTGCCAGAAGCTTCTCACTCCGTGGAGACCTTGGAGTCGAGGATGAAATGTCTTACAACTGTGGGGAGACCTTGGCTTTTCCAAAGCCTACCAGGGTCCAGGTGAGAGCAGTGGTAACCCACAAGTAAGTAAGCCCTTGCCCTTGTCTCTCTTCTGTGGAGGACTTCTCCTCAAAGCTGACTTCTCGCTGGTAACACAACCTCACCTCCCATTTTCCTTGCAGAGAAGCAGCCTTCTTGGCCACTAGGGGGGCCTGTTGCACACCACATTCAGAGCTAATCATCAGTATTGGCTCACCTCACTGTCACTTGGGAAGTTCTTAGGACCCATTCCCATCCTTTGATCTATCTTCAGTGAAAAGTAACCTAGGATTTTTCCAGCCTTGTCTTTAGAAATGAGAAATATTAAACAACAAATATACAAGAAAGTAAAGCATAATATGGAAATATGAAAATGCAAGACTAGGCCACAGGTGAAGGAGAACTTTTAATGGAATGGCCTTCCCCTTAGCTACAGAGCTCACAGCTGCAGTTTGTCTCTACCTCACTGTAGATCCTTCCCTACTCTTCTGTCACACCTCCTGGTTCCTACTTAGTTCCTACTCACCCTCCTCCCTCCTCTCTTCCCTGTTGACAGAAGCCACAGCTAGGTCAGTGCAGGAAGTGGGAGGAGACAGCAGAAAAATTTATCCTGGGAAAAGGACTCTATTTGATCCCAGCTCACCCAGTTCACTCTTGAAGGTGTGATCCTGTGGGAGAATGGAGTGGACATTCCGAATACTTCCTCCTCCAACAAACCAGTTCACATTGGGATTCCAGCGGTTCACAAAGCCACAGAGATGATTTTCTTCAAAGTCACATTCTGGGGAAGGGAAACAAAAACACTTCATGGAGACACAGTCACACCTGGGTACACGCATCCTACTACAGAGTTTGCTCTTAGATATTCAGAAGTTTCTCTCTTCCTTTGCCCACTGCAACCTTTCTACCAGGACCCCTGCACAATTTTGGCCAAGAAGAGAGACAGATCCTGTAATGAATCAAGATTCTAATTCATCATTGGCCCTTTGGATTATGGCCCTTCCACTTATTAGCCATGTCACTTGGAGCATGACTTACCACTTTTTGTAGCCTCTGTGTCTCCATATGTGAAATGGGGACAATGTTCCCACTTCACAGAGCTATTGTAAGTGTGGAGAGCTCCCAGCATAGTGCCAGGCATGTGGTCAGTGCTTGGTACAAGTCAGCTATTTTTATCAGTCACCTCTGTCTCAAAGAGCTGTTCAGGGTTATGCTCGTAGCTCTAGAAAATTTTTTCCACAACCCTTTCTTGAATCTACTGGCCCAGTCCTCCATTCCTTTCTCTTCTCATGATGAACAAGTTGCCCAGAGCTGAGGGACATGTGTCTGAGATGCTAAAATTCCCTGTTTTTCTTATAAATCAGAACCCAGGTAAAATAGGTGGGGCAGATATATCCTAGGTTCTGGTCCCTTTTGCAGCTACTGAGTAGAGAAGAGAGAGAAGATAATCAGATCCCCCTCTTCTACCCTTAGTGTCATTGGCATGTTTGCATGGATATATTGGTCTCCATCAACAATTGTTCCTTAAAAGGGAGCAAGAAACCCACAAGCTAATGCCTCCATTGACCCTTATAATCACACAGTTAAACTAGGAAGTATAATTGTGCTGGCCACTGGCCCCCTGCGGATCCACGTTGCTCTTCTCCACCTGATAGGTCCTGCAGAGGTTGACCTATCCGGACTGTATCAATGGGCTACCCTGCCTTCCATCTCCCTGTTGGATTCGACCAATGGAGGGTGGAAGGAGAATGAAATCAGGGGTTTACTTGCCCAGCAGTCTCCCAGCCAGGTCGCCATGAGTTGGCAAGTCTTGTCAAGCAGCCCTTGTTTGACAAATAGCTATTGTTTACAGGTACTGGAAACTCCTCCTCCCTTGTCCTTTCAGACCAAAAGAAGATAACAGCTCCTGAATCATCACTGTTACTAGTCCTGGGTCACAGAGCTATTCCTTGCTGGCTTCCTTTACCACTCACACCTTTGTGGTCTCTTCAGTGAGCTTCCCTCAAATTACTCAGGTTGACTGTACCCTCTGTTTCCTCCTTCCTGCCAGGATCTTGACTGGTGTAGTCAGCAATGTGTTTTTACATTAGCAAGCACTGAACATTTCTAAGATTTTCATTTTCAATGTTTCCACCACAGTGTCTGCTAGCCAATGCCCTAACATTCAGTGCCAAATGCTGCCTAAGAGTAAAATAAAAAGCAAAATATTCCTCAATATGCCAGGCTCCATTCTGAGCACTTTACATAAATTAACTTATTCAATCTTCAAAGCAGCCCCATGACATAGGCACTGTTACTAACCTCATTTTACAGATGAGCAATGGAGAGAGGCAGATAAAGTACCCAGAAAGAAAGAAGTCAGAGTGTGATCATAGAGTTTAACAAGATAAAAGTGTTGGCATCCTTTTGTTTTAAACAAATCAGAAGTCACCACATCATTTGAAGAAAGGCAATTAACATGTTTTGGATGTCCAGCACTGTATATACCAATTATTTTCATAACCAGGATATTCCTCCTCCTAAGAATCCTAGGAGGGAAGCTTTTTATTCCCATTTTACGGATGCCAAGAGGCTGAGGCTCAGTAAGCTGACTGAGCCAGCAGGTGGCGCTCCACCAGAGGTGTCTGACTTCCCTGTCGTTCACAAGCTGTGCAGATGCCAGGTGGAAGCCCAGCGGGAGGCTCAAGGAAAAGAGCCTGAGCCTCACTGTATCTTCAGAAAATGGTCTGTTTTCTTTCACTTGCCCTAGAGATATCATTGAGGTCAAAACAGACAAGTGAAACGTAAGGGAATTAGCAAAGGCTTTTTTGTTGTTGTTGTCGTTCAGAATATTCTTTGACTCTCCTTTCTCTTCCCCGTCACATTCATTTAGCCTTCAAGAGTTGTCAGTGCTGAAAAATCTCTCAATTCTACTGCCTTTTTCCAATTCCACTGCTAATTCAGTATTACCCTCATTATGCCCCCTCTGTAATGTCACAGCTGCTTCCTAGGGGTTTTCCCACCTGCTATGCATTTTCTTTGTACCCAACTCATTTTCCACGTGGCAGCTGGAGTCATCTGAAAGTGCAGCTGCACACTTCTCCCCTGCTGGCTGACCCACATGATTCAGCAGGTCCAAGCTCCACATCCTGCATCCACACTCTTCCATCACAAACTCCCTTAGCAGTCCTGGTCTCACTTCAAACACCCTACTCAGCCTCTTGCCTTTGCCTGAACCTGCCCTGTTTCTTTCTCCCCACAGGGGTCTGGCCATGGAGAACCCTTGCCTTCCTACCCTGCACCTCCACTTAACTAAATTCTTCTCCTTCTTGAAACTCCTGCTCCAGTGCACTGTCCCTATTCAGTCCTCTCCAATTTCCTCTCCTCCTCCCTGCGCCTCTCCACTGCACAGCTTGTCCTTCCTCAGCAGTATTTGCCATATGCAGAACTAGCTTCAATGTAGACAAATAGGAACTGAACCACCATAGGACAGGGTTTATCCTTTCTTTATGCCCTCTTGGAAGCTGGCAGATAAGAGACAGCCAACCAACTCTGCTCAAGTGAAATCTAAGTGACAACTGTGATTATTAAGAGGAGAGCCGTGGTGTGCCAAGAGAGAAATAAGGGAAAGGAGGTAATACAATGTCTGCTTTTCTGGCACATGCTACAAAAAGCTGAGTTTCCAGCAATTTGTAAATTATTTTAATCAGAATGTGTTGAGGTTAAGGTGGCAGCTCTGAAGTTACAGTTCCTGCATCTATATTTCTTTCATTAATCCAGACTGTACAGGCAGATTCTAATGAGCCTTCCCACACTAAAGACAAAAAACATACAGTATTCAAATGAATCTAGCAAAGAATTTAAACCAGTATGCATTATGCAGTGCATTCTATAAAATAGTTGGTCTTTAGGATTGATTCAGTTCCCTCTGGCAACAGTAACTTTTAGAAAAAGATTCACAATTTGATTTAATGAAAATGAAGCCCACTTACCAATACAGTAGCCGGTTGTCATCTTGATTTCAAATAGTGCGATGCTGGCTGTGTTTCCCTGTCCTAGTACACCTTCTATTAAAATCTGCACAACATATGGGGAAGAAGGGGAGTTAGACTTCAAAACATCATGTTTCCTTGGTTCAGTATTTCAGCTATTAGTCTGGAGCTGTTCAGCCACTTAAGGCAAAACAGGATTGTTAGTCTCAGCTAATTGCTATTGGATACCAATTTCACTACGGACTTTACTAGAAGAATGTGTGTGTATATATGTGTGTGCATGCGCATGTGCACATAAACTCATACATCAAAACTTCAAGGTAAATAAGGCATCTGATAGAAGCTCAGAGTCAGCTGTCTTTTCTTCTCTTGCTATCCCAACCACCACCACCTTCAGTGCTTGTGGTAGCACTTGTGGTCCTGTTTCTGAAAGTAATCACTTTTTCTCCTGTGGTTTTAGCCCTATATTCTGCAACTATGCTGGCAGATTTAGGAGGTGATAACTGCTGGGAAGAAGTTGTTAAAGAGAGAACTCAGAGCCCCCATGCTCCATCCTCAACCACTGGCTGACAGGGAAGGACTCCAAGCAGACAGTGGGTATTGGAGAGTAAAGCATTTCAAGCCTTTCAAAGAAGTGGGATGGGATAGGAAATTGAAAGACGGATTAGGAATGGGGAATATTTTCATGATGGCTCCATTGTGTCCCCGATGAAATATTTTCAATAAACATCACACTTCATGGCCAGGTGTGTCTGGATCCCATCCTCCTTCCTTATCCAGTCCACACCCAGCTTCACCTTACATTCGCTACCTTCCTTTTCCAGGACTCCCAAAGGAACAACTTCCCTCTTTGAAAAGGAAATGGAACATGTCCTTTAAGTATCTTTTCTCTTTTAAAGTATTTTCACTTTCCTTTTATTATAATCTTTTGTTCAAAATTTGTAGCAAAGAAATGATTAAGAAGATAAACAAACACATAGCACACACAATTTAGAAGGATGAAATAAAATTATAGAAATGAGAATACTCCCTAAAGCCATAGAAAATCTATTTTCATTGAAGAGGTTGATTTAAGCCCCATTTAGATTTTTACAGAAGGCTCATTTAAATAGATGGGAAAGAAATCTGGGAAGAAGCTCTTTTAAGGAATAAACAAAATGTTAATTTCCATTGCTAATATTCTTCTATGGTATGTATCTTATGAAACATCACGTCATAATCCAGGAGATAACTAACCTCCATGTCAGAAGTTTTCATAAGATTTTAGAATAGTATAAAGCAAAGATAATAGGCCTTATATCTTTCTCCTAAACTCCACCTACCTTGAATTTCTTGGAACTGTTTTGCAAATCCAAGCTGGCTATGAGCCAGCTGTCTGAAGGTTCCTTAGCTGACCAAAGCAAGCGATCAAAGCTTTCATCTTCAAATCTCATGTAGAGGTTCAGCTGGCTGGGATCTGACAGAGACTCCGAAGATGTGGTTATCTGGTAGACCAAACGGAGGCAGCTCCATTCCTCAGCCTGTAAGTCAGGACTTAGCAGCACAGCTTTCTCCCCCTGCTTGCCAAAGGAGGTATCCACATAAATGTAATGGCCTGGAAAGAGAAAGGAACATAGGAAAAGGATCAATTTTTGTTTGCAACCTGGAAAAATACGTAACTGCAGTTAAGTAAATCTCTGGGCAGATAAACCTGCAGATATATTTTGTCAACCCACTGAAAGTTGCCTGAACACTGGATCACTGGCCTCTTTTGAAAAAATTACAAAGCACTGAGACCATGTTACCAGATGATGACAACAGGCTGGAGCTGAGTGGTGCTGCCTCTTCAGAGGGTGGCATGTGGTCTCCACTTTGCCATAATTGCCATCAGTCCCTCTTCACTCCTCACACTGAGTGTCTCTGCTTTTTATTCTTTTACACCAGGCCCATTTAGCACATTGCATTCATCTCCCTGGTCCCCATAGGCATATGTTTCTGCAGGCTGAGGGACATCAGAATCAGAAGAGCGGCATGACTGAAGTCAGAATAACTGGGTGGACTCAACCTTCTCCTTACATAGCTCTCCCCATTACCTAATGTTTCAATCTGCATTTAACTTGCATCATTATGTAGACTGAATTGATTTGGTTACCTAAGCCTGGATCTTGGGACCTAGGCAGAAAAAGTACATTGTAAGCTATTTTTTATTAAATTAGGAATAAGACTTCCTTCCCTTGACTCTTCCATGACCAAATTTCATAGTTCTGAGAAATAAATGAGGAAACACTTGCAAAACATGTAGCACAGGGCTGGGAAAGCACTGGACACTCTGGGACTAGCAATTGTCCTTCCTTCTCCTCTATCCTCACTTCTCCTTTCGGATTCCCTGTTTCCTCCTTTCTCCTTTTCCTCCTCTCTTCTGTCTTCTTATTCCCCTTTCCCCGTCCTTCTCCTCCTCCTTTCCTTTTCCTCTGTTCATTCTCCTTCCCTTCTCCCTCTACCCTCCTAATATCGACAAGTGCTTTCTGCTGGCTGTACAAGATATGAAAAGCATTTCTATAAAAGTTGGTGGGGCATTGAAGCCAAGAACCTTAACTCGAGCCTTCCAAACCCACCTCTGGCCATCTGGTTTCCTATGTCAATGATCCAATTGCCTGTGGGTCTTTGGGGACCTCCTGGGCCTTTCTGGCCTGCAGATTCTCATGCTTTCTCGGAGGGCCCCACATTCATGGCTGTCATTTAACCTGCTGTCTTTCGTCCTGTGGCTTCCACCACCCTGTGTCTGCACTTCGGTCTCCCTAACCCTAAACTCTTACGAGAAAGGATCTGAAAAGCCTCTTTGTTTTGCTTGATGTTCTTCAGCCTGTCCTCCCACGCTTGTTGTCTCAAATGCCCATCCCAGCCTGGATCCTTATATCCGTGGCGAGTACCGACAGGCTAACTGGAGCTCAGATGACGGCCATCCTCACATGAGGGACACAGTTAGGGCATTGTCTTCAGGGATCCTTTCTTGCCGACTGAAGGATTTCAAGATCAAGATCTAACTCTTCCTGGCAATCTTCTTAACATAGCAACCGCCCACTGGGTGCAGATAGCAATTGCTTCTAGATGCCAACCCAGGCACCCTTGTGGAGAAATCTGGCCCTTGCAGCAATTGCTGACACCATCATACCTCCCACGTACAGGCGACACTCACTGCAACTCAGGCCCAAGTGCTGTTCTAAGTGCTTCACGTGCATTTCCAAGGTGAAGGCCTTGTTGGGTTTGACTATTCTAAGCTGGGGCTCTTGAGGCCAACCCTTTTTGGATAAAAAGTGCTGCTTCTTGTGGCATGAGGAATGTATTAGCACCATCCTCTTTCCCCACTCTTTGCTACTGCCCCAAAAGAAGGGACTTCAAGCAGGCTGGATTGGGGGAGATCACGTGAGTACCTCAAACCTTTTCCGAAGAAGTAGAGAGTTGGACATGGAGTATAAAAGAGGAAAGAAACAAATAAAGACCTTGCTATGTCCTATCAACATTCATATCAAATACCAACTTTGCTGCCATGGGAGGCTCAATTTTCCCTGGGTACTTCCCCAGCCTCCCCTTTTCTCTCCCTCCCCTTTTCCTTTCCCCACTCCAGAAAGGGACAACTCAAAGCAATGCTCTTAAAGTTGAGCCCAGAGTCACCTGGATATCTTGTTCAAATACACATCCCCAGGCCCACCCCTTGAGTTTCCAATCCAGTAGAGCTGGGGTGATGCTGCATTTCTAACAGATTGCATTTCTTGGATGTTCCAGGTGATACTGTTGCTACTGGTCTTTGAGAACTGCTGACTTACAATGTATGGACAGGTAAATAGGGTTCATTCTCCAGCCACCTCTCATCTACCAAAGAAAGTGCAGGCTCCTGTAGCATGTAAAGGAGGTAGGCAACGGTTCTGCTGGAAGGTACAACTCGAATTTAAGTGAATGTGTGTTAAAGCAGGTGCACAGAGTCCATCTGCTGGTGATTATCTTGGCTTTTCAGTGAGTGCCATAAAAAAATTCTCTTGACATTCTCTCTCACCTGATCAGATTTTACTATAAGCTTATGCTAATGTTCTCTTGTCAAGAACCTTTGAGAGCACACACTATATAAAATGTACTATTTAAAATACCTAGATTTTATTCTGTGTGATGAAAGTCGGTGCTATTCATTGAGTGATTTTGACATCTTAGCCATAAATGTGGGTTATTTTAAAATATTGGAATTTTGCATTTAAATTAAAGATCTCATATTTGTTTTTAGGTCACGCCATGTGAACGTGCCTCTTAGCAGCATTACAGTCCATGCAAAGATGTATCTACCCAGCTGATTGGATGCAATCCACTCAGCAGAATGATGCATTTTCCTAGACCTAATCATTAGCCCAAGCACCGCCCACCTCCACTATCACTGCCAACTTCAAGACTAATTTTCTAAATTAATCACTACGTTTTCCAGGCCTGCTCTGGATACAGCCTTAGAATCCTTCTAAACATAGTGCTGCATGTAACCACTACCAATCAATCTGAGTTGGCACTTGAGTTGAAACTACTTGTTATCTCTGCTTGTGGCTTCAGTGTAGGGGTATATTTTGTGGTCACGTTATAGCTAAATTGAACTAGAAGGAACACGGTATATTTTGAAGAAGTTTTAGAAAATATAGGATGAGGAAGATATTAATGTCAAGGATGTTGCCTTTCCCTGCCTTGTCACTAAGAAAATTGCTATTCTAGAATAAATCTGTGAGTTCTTTTTACTTAAAAAGAATCATTTTACCACCGAGTGAATTAACGAAGTTTTCTTTGGGTGTAAAAAAATGTTTTATTTATTCCATCTTAATCAAATTGATATTTGGAAGTTAACTTTAGACATAATTCGCATTCCATAGAATTCACCCTTTTAATACAATTCAGAGGTTTTTAGCATGTTCATAAATTTGTGCACCATCACCACTATCTAATTCCAGAACATTTTCACCATAACCCCAAAAGGAAACCCTGTATCCATTAGCAGTCATCCCTCATTCTCCCCACCCCTAGCATCTGGAAACTACAAATCTACTTTCTGTCTGCCTGAACTTGCCTATTCTGGAAACTTTATATAAATAGAATTATATAATATGTGTCCCTTTGTGACTAGCTTCTTTCACCTGGCATATTTTCAAGGTTCATCCATGTTGTAGCATATATTAGAATTTCATTCTTTTTGGGGGCTAATATTCTATTTTATGGATTACCACATTTTATTTATTCATTCATTAGTTGATGGACATTTGGATTGCCTCTCCTTTTTGACTATTATGAATAATCCTGCCATTAACATTTTTATGCAAGTGTTTTTGTATATAAAAATTTCACTTCTCCTAGGTGTATGCCTAGGAGTGGAATTGTTAGGCCACATGGAAATTCTATGTTTAACTTTTTGAAGAACTGCCAAACTGCTTTCTCAAGTGGTTGCATCATTTACATTTCCACCAGCAATGTATGAGAGTTCCAATTTCTCCACATCCTCACCAACACTTGTTATTGCCCATCTTTTTTTTAATTTTAGTGAATTGATGTGAATTGATCTCTGATTATGCTTTTGATTTGCATTTCTCAAGTGACTAATTATGTAGAGCATCTTTCATATGCTTATTGGCCATTAATGTACATCTACTTTGGAAAAATGTCTGTTCAAATCGTTTGTCCATTTTAAAAATTGGGTTGTCTTTTTATTGTTGAGTTATAAGAGGTTTTATACATTCTGGATAATAGATCTTATCGAATAGAAAATTTGCAAATACTTTTTCCCATTCTGTGCTTTGTCTTTTCACCTTTTTTTTTTTTTAAATGGAGACGGAGTCTTGCTGTGCCGCCCAGGCTGGAATGCAGTGGCGTGATCTCGGCTCACTGCAACCTCCACCTCCTGGGCTCAAGCAATTCTCCTACCTCAGTCTCCTGATTAGCTGGGACTACAGGTGTACGCTGCCACGCCCTGCTAATTTTTTGTATTTTAGTACAGACGGGGTTTCACCATGTTGCCCAGACTGGTCTCGAACTCCTGAGCTCAGGCAGTCTGCCCGCCTCGGCCTCCCAAAGTGCTAGGATTACAGGAGTGAGCCACCACTCCTGGCCGTCTTTTCACCTTTTTTATGGTATCCTTTGAAGTATAAAATTTTTAAATTTTGATGAAGTTTAATTTTCTATTTTTAGTTTTTTTTTTTCTGCCTTTGGCATCGTAGCTAAGAAGCCATTCTCAAATTTAAGGTCACGAAGATTTACAGCTATGTTTTTTTTCTCAGAGTTTTATTGTTTCAGCTTTTACGTTTAGATCTTTGATCTAATTTTTGCCCGTTGAATTTTCTTGCCACCATTGTTGAAATCAGTTGAGGATAGATGTGGGGTTTATTTCTGGACTTCTCAATTCGATTCTATTGATCTATGTTTATTCTTATGCCAGTACCACAGAGTCCTCCTTACTGTAGCTGTGTAGTAAGTTTTGAAATTGGGAAGTATGAGACCTCCGACCTATACTCATTTTCAAGATCATTTTAACTATTCTGGGTCCCTTGTATTTCCATATATATTTAAATATCAAAATGGGAATAATGCAGAACACCATAAAGTTCAGTGTTTTAACAGTATTCCTTCATTTTTCTTGAATACATGCTCCTGAATGTTATAAGCCTTTGGTTAATTTCCAGAGCTCTTAAAAAGTTGATTTTGACCATTTCTTTTGCTGTTCTCATTGCTTTTATGGGGAGAGGATTCTCTGAGGTCCTTACTCCACCACTCTTGCTGACATACTCCCTTTTCTCATCTTTTAAAACCAATAAGAATACCAAGCAGTGCTTCAGAGATGTTAGAGTAAACAAAACAAATGAGAAAAAGGCAAAGAAGGGCAGAAATCACAGGGGGATTGGGAGGTTGACTGTGATGCATCAGGCCAGGGATCTGGGGGAGATTTACCAACCGCAGTGTTGGAGAAATGGCATCAGGAGGAGAGGGAAGGATCCACTTCAAATATGGCTGCCTAGGCAATTGGAACTGATTTACTAGACATTTATTAGAGATGATAAAATCTTTATAAAGGGTCAGAAAAGGGCCATAAACTTCCAAATAGATTTTTTTAAAAAGTAAGTCAGCAATCAAAAACAATCATTAAGCCATCTTGCCAAAAAGTACAGACTCCACGTGCCCTGGGGTCTGAACATGTCTCCTTGTCACATGCAGGCATCAGAAAACAACAGAAAAAGCTTTTCTGTTTAAGTGAAGCCAAGCCATAAATAACTGAGTCTTGAAGTCATGTTCAATCGCTGGACACATCTGCATGGCCAGAACTCAATGTATCGATAACTTCCAATAGCCATGGCACAGCATGGTAGGTCTAAGTCCCACACCATCACTGTGGCAGCATGGTCAGGGCACAAGTCACAAGGGGCTTCTTGGCACCCATGGAATTCTGTTAGCTAATGAATGCCGAATGCCCCGTCCTTCAGGTGTGATAATCATGCTGGGGTGACTGTGTGGTACAGTGGACCCTACTCAGGATTTGTAAATTATAACCTAGGTTTAAAACCTTATGACACACACATAAACTGAATCACTGGCTTCTTTATTTTCAAAATGAGACTAATAAAAGAAGAGAGCCACTTTACATATACATTCAATATGTGGAAAATCAATGTACTTAGAAAAAAACAAACCAACTAAAAACAACCCAACCACTAGTACAACACACACACATACGAAATATGTTTTTCATATGAATAGCCACTAAATGGAGTCTATTTCATCTAATGTTTAAATAAGTATATACTTCCATGCAGAAAGAAAAATTGGCCGTGTTGTACATAAAAATGGCATAATACGTATAAAACCATGTACACTGTACTCTGTAATTTAAGGAACTCTTAAGAGCAATTTTGACAATGTATAATTTTCACGTTTTGTGCTGACTTTAGACTGTAAAACTGAAGTGAGATATGACTTCATATCTATAGGGCTGTTGTGAGAACCTGATAAAATGATGTACAGTCATGCATCACTAAACGATGAAGATAGGTTCTGAGAAATCATCATTGGGTGATTTTGTCATTATGCAGGTATTATAGAGTGTACTTCATGAACCTAGATGGAGAGCCTACTACACATGTAAGCTATATGAGACAGCCTATTACTCCTAGGCTACAAACCTGTAACAGTATGTTACTGTACTGAATACTGTAGGCAATTGAAACACAATGATAAGTACTTGTGTATCTAAACACACCTAAACATAGACAAGATATAGTAAAAATACAGCATAAAAGATAAGAAATAGTACATCTGTATAGGGCACTAACTTGCAAGTGGTGTGGGTGAGTCAGTGAGTCAGCAGGGAGGGAATGTGAAGGACTAGGCTATTACTGTACACTACTGTAGACTTACAAACACTGTATACTTAGGCTATTCTGAATTTATATAAAATATTTTTCTTTTTTCAATAATGAATTAACCTTCGTTTACTATAACCTTTTTACTTTATAAATTAAAAAAAATTTTAACATTTGACTCTTATGTAACAACTGTTAGCTTAAAACACAAACACACTGTACGGTACTGTATAAAATATTTTCTTTCCTTATATCCTTATTATTAATGAGGTTTTTTATGATTTAAATATTGTAACATTTTTTACTTTTCAAACTTTTTGTTAAAAACAAAGACACAAACATTCACATTAGCCTAGGGCCTATACAGGATCAGAATCATCACAACGTCACTAGGCTATAGGGAATTTTCAGTTTTATTATGTTATGGGACTACCATCATATATGCCCATCGTTGATCAAAACATTATGCAGTGCATGACTATATATAAAGATGCTTTGTAAATGGTCATGTTAATTGCTAATTTCTGTTCTCATCATCAAAGGCAGGAGTTTTTAGTTATTGCAGAGACAGAGAGAAATGTATATTGCCTTCTTACTTTTTTCCAATATGGATCAGAGAAGATATTTGTTCAGGTAACAGACCAGCAGCACGTTTTCAGTGCTGATATGAGAACAGGCCTCATTCGTTTCACTTTAATTGGCCCTTTGACGTTAAAGTCTACAACTTTGTGCTTTTAGTGCTGGGCCCATCCTGGCTAGCCATGCTAAGCAGTCTCCCTCCTCACAGCTAAGCTCCTCTGGTTCTTACCCAAGGCTAATCATCATTTCAAGTGGAATCTGGCATATTTACTCCTGATGTGATTCTGGCTGAAATCTGATGACGCAGGTCTGACAGCAATGCCTACGTCTGTCTTTTGTTTAGAGCTTAGTGCCTTGCATATCTAAGACAAGGACACTGCTTCTTTTTGGCAGCTTCCTTCCCAGGGCTGAAGTCTAGTCCCTGAACTCAAACGAGGATCTTCCCACTCAATTTTCTGAATGCCTTAACTGTCTGCCTCCCTGGATCAGGTCCTGCTGTGGACACAGTATGGTAGAGTGGTTGAATGTGGCTATCACATCAACTTGATGTTGGTTCAAATCTTGGCCACGCCACTTAGAAACAATGTCACTTTGGGCAAGTTAATTATATTATCTGAAACTCACTTTCTTCTTTGGTAAAGTGAGGATGTTAAAATACCAATTTTGTAGTCTTTTAAGATTAAATAAGATAATGTAAGTACTTAGCACAGAGCCAAGTTCTTAATAAATGTTAGTGCTCCTATGTCCAGTTAGATGATCAGCATCCTCTTCTGATGGTTACCCCACCTCGTCATCTCACTTTGGACCTCCTTGATACCAGTTGCTATTGTTCTACCTGCTGCCCATTGTGCTTGTGCTCTCTCTCTCTCTCTCTCTCTCTCTCTCTCTCTCTCTCTCTCTTTCTTTTTGGCAGAGTCTTGCTCTGTCACCCAGACGGGAGTGCAGTGGCGTAACCTCAGCTCACTGCAACCTCCACCTCCCAGGTTCAAGCGATTCTCCTGCCTCAGCCTCCCAAGTAGCTGGAATTACAGGCACCCGGCACCACGCCCAGCTAATTTTTGTGTTTTTAGTAGAGATGAGGTTTCACCATGTTGGCCAGGCTGGTCTCGAACTACTGACCTCAGGTGATCCACCCGCCTCGGCCTCCCAAAGTGCTGGGATTACAGGCGTGAACCACCGCGCCTGGCCTGCCCTACCTTTCTGACACCAACTTCTGCCCCCTATGTAGAAGATCTTCCAAGTATCTGTGACTGGATCTATTCTCCCTAGTGCCTGCTCTACTGCTATGGGCATGTCTTTTTATGCTATGACAGTCATCTCTGGGATCTACTAGATAATCAAAGCAGCCTGGACAATAATACATGCAAAGCATCCAGCAAATGTTCATGAAGTTTCTGCAAAGAACAGATTTCTATCGTGGAGAGAAGATGCCTCTGTGGAACTGCATCCTCAATTATGTATAAGCCATCAGCTTACATTTTGAAGGAGTGTTATTTTCTTTGCATATCAAAGACTTTCAAAAAAATGAAAAAGTCAAATTTCTCAAAATGTATAGAAAATACAATGGGTATGGGGTTCTCAAAGTTGATCGTGTTATTAGAAAATAAATAATATAGCACTCCTTAAATGTAAAATGATTTTTTAATCTTTGGGACTATTAATATCTGAGTTTTTTTCTCAATTAATCAGATTCACAATGATTTATAAATCTACTGATTACTTCTGGCAGAGAATGGTCTGATCTGAAACTATGTAAGAAAAAAATCACAAATATTTATGACTCACATAAAGTATTCTCATCTTCTGTTTGAAGTTTCCAATTTTACTATTATTTTGTGTTGTTTAATAAATCGCTAATTATATTAATCATAATTTTAATAAAATGATGAACATAACTTTTAAGACTTCAGCTCAAGTCATCTGGTAAGAAACAAAGATTCAAAAATGACTAACATTTGTTGTACTCTGGGTACTAGATTCTTCACACATGTTCTTCTCCCTTAAGCCTGTCAAATGATCCTATGATGTAGAAATTGCCACTTTACAAATAAGGAAACAGAGATTGACAAAAATTAATTCACCAGTTCAAGGAAACAGCTAGTAAACCAAGCTGAGGCACAAAGTCCATGCCTTTTCCCCTGCACCAGGCTGTCTCCAAATATTTCCTTTTCTGCCTCCTTTATTAATTTATCTTTTCATAATATCATTTTCTTACAGCAGGAAAACAACCTTTTCTTCCTTTTCCTTATAGTGGGATCCTGAAGGTATGGATAAATCTATATGGACTTTCATTTGGGCTTCTCCACAAATATTATTTCTACTGATAACACAATAATCTGATTAATTTTTCTACTGCAGTGCCTCAAATCTAAAAGACTTTTAAACATGTCAAGATTTCTAAAATTAGGGCATGTCTTACAATTGATCTATAGTGCACCTCCCCACTCCCTAAAAGGATGTTAGCAAATCTATGGTGCAACTTAGAATCAAGGAATACAAAATAAGATTATTTCACCTGCACTTTGGTTACTGACTGCTGTCAGAGACCCCACAGGCTTGGGCTCAGAGGATGCTATCAAATATTACTGGTAAATCCTGCCAAAGGGTGGTAAGTGGGGCAACATGAAGATAAAGGGTTACAGAGCCACCTGCAGAAGGGCAGCACTGGTGGTCCAGAGACCTCTAGTTACCAGCTTGTACAAGGCACAGTCCACAGTTTCAGTCCAATGTCTTAATAAGTATTTACTAACTTGCAATGTGTACATGTCATGAACAATCCATTTCCATAAAGTATATGGGCCCCCAGTTGCCAGACAACAAGGTACTTCATATCATGTAACATAAACAAGTCCATCGGGCTTCCAAATCTTCCTGCTGAATTAGAAAGGGTTTCCCCATGGAGTTTCGCAAGGCATATGTCTTTTCAGTGCATGTTTTTTATGGGAATGGCTTCTCTTCACCCCTCTCCTTGCCATGTGAAGCCCCTAATATGACACAGATTCAAGAAATTTTTCATTTTCATTCAATGAAAGTACATGAAACTCCTGGCTTTTGGTTAGTTTCCATGGATAAGAGGATGAATGAGACCCAAGAGGTATAAGCTTACATCTAAATCTCCCCAGAAGCCAGCATACTGAGGATGGTTGATTTGCAATGCAACTTTATAGGCAGGTCCCACTTCTAAAGTGTGGTGGGCAAAATTATCTGTAATTGAAAAGGAACAACTAGATACTGTCATCCTATTTTGGTCCCAAGCGGTAAGAAACCCCTCCCAGAATGAAACCTTCTCTAGACCAGCAAAGAGGCTCTTGCACTGGGGAAATATAGGTTTGCTTAAAGAAATAGGAAAGCCTGCATTTATAGAGCAGCACAAAATTACCACGTACAAACTTCCAAGCTATCCCAACACACAGGGTCATGGGTGGGGTAAGTCCTTTCTTCCTGATGTGGAAATTGAATTTTCGGTGTTCTCAGTATTCCTTGTCAATATCATTTGCCTCAGGAAATTCATTACGCAATCTGTCATTATTATACAATACTTATCTCCAAAAAGAAAAATCTCTTCCTTTTCAAATTCATTTATAAGAAAAAATTTGCTCCTCTCACAAATAAAGACAAAGCTTGGCCGACAACTACAGAACCTCCAGAGAACCTTAATAGGGTGAAGCTGGATGAGACCTTGATGTCTAATAAAGGGATCTTGATGAAGATTTTTTTTTCTCTAGTGCCACTTAGGATGGAAATGGAAGAAAACAGTGAGGCCTGGGGAGATGCCCTGAATAGAGTGTCACTATTGATTAGCAATATCTGCCTGGTCCTGGGAGAAGACCACATGGGACAGATCATGTCCGACTTCTTCCTTCCTAGTTGACTCAGAAACTTCTCCCACATCTGGGGTGTTTGGCTTTTGGGGAGTAAGGGGAATTTCTACAGGAAGGTTGTGACATTTTTCACCTTAGAGGTGGCCCTTATTTATAAAATCGCATGGCAGCAGCATCAACATCGTGATCTTGAAATGTTCTTTTCCTCTGGATTCCTTGATCCCCCCCTTTAATAGTTTTGCCCCTACCTTCTATCTGCTACTCCTCTATCTTCTCCATGGTATTCTCTACCTTTGTTAGTCTCTTACTTGTTAGTATTTCATTGGGTCTGGGTCTAGCTTCTCTACTTTGATGACTCTTCCTTACCATAGCAGTAACTAATTGCCTCCCTAATATCCATTCTCTCCTGCTTCCTCATTACAGAACCCCAATTTGATTGGGGCTGGCAATATGCCCAGCCAAGAGAATGACATTGCTGTGCCACCTTTGCCTTTGGGATAGCCAGTGACTAAGTTCTAGATGGAGAAAGTTGTTGAATGGGGCTTTCAGGAAAGCTCCTCAAAGGGGGGGCTGACTCAGCTAGTAGGTTTCTTTTGTCCTCTCCTTTCCTCCCTCTTTCTGTCTGAAGTGTGCATGCGATGGACTGGAGTTGCAATGGCCACTTTAAGAACAGGAGGTGACTAGGGTGAAGAATTCATCTTAGTTAGCCTGGGCCTTTCTTAGTTTTAAAATTTAAAGTCCCAGACTGGTGCAGTGGCTCACAGCTGTAATCCCAGCACTTTGGGAGGCTGAGGTGGGAGAATCGTTTGGGCCCAAGAGTTCAAGACCAGCCTGAGGAACATGGCAAAACCCCATCTCTACAGTACATAGAAAAATTAGCCAGGCATGGCACCTGTGGTCCCAGCTACTCAGCAGACTGAGGTGGGAGAATCACCTGAGCCTGGGGAGGTCGAGGCTGCAGAAAGCTGTGATTGCACCAGTGCAGTCCAGCCCAGGCAAGAGAGCAAGATTGTGTCTCAAAAAAAAGAAAAAAAAAACTTAAATTAAATTAAATTTAAAGTCCTATGTCCTGGGAACAGGACATGTTTTCTGGGGAAACTGACAGTGTTGTTCATCCTAGCAGGCAACCCTGAAAATGGACATTATCACTGTGAGTGGGATGTAAAAATAGCAGGAGCTGGGTTCCTGATCATATTGTTGAGTCTTCTAACCAGTCTGGACTTCCTATGTCTGCACTTTTCACTAGGAAAGAAAAACAACAAATCCCAATTTAAACCATTATTTAGTTTTTTTCTGCTATAGGCATCCAAATTACTTAACTGACTTCTCCCATGCCTTCCAGCTTCGTTTATACAGAGGTAATTCCCAAGTCTCTCACTCTGGCCTGATCCCCTATCACTTCCAGACTCATGTATCTTTCTGTTGGGCATCTCCACATGGACATGCCATAGGCACTTAAACTCATTCTCTTTCTCCCAAATCCTACTCTCCCAAATCTGAGAGAATGGAACCCCCAGCTATCTAGTGATCAATCAAGAAATCTTAGTGTCTTCATTGATTCCTCCATCTCCCTCCAAAATTCTATCAATCTCAATAACTGAATTTTGAAAATTTCTCTCAAAGTCAACCATTCCTTCAAGTTCCTTCCACTGATCCAGCTTACAAAAACTATCTTTTGTCTGGATTATTCCAATGCCCTTCTGATACGTCTATCTGCTTCAGTCTTGCCCCAGTCTAATCTAATCTCCACACTACAGCCAGAGTGTTATTTCTGTTATGCCAATCTGCTCACATCATTTCCCAGCCTAAAACACCTGAAGGGGGTCCCCATTGTCCTCAATTTACATGGCCTTGGTGTTCTGGCTCGCATATTTAACCACACCCTTTTCTGCAGCCTACATGGCAGCTACAGAATTTCTTTTAGTTCCTTTAAGCTAAGGTGCCAGGCTCTTTATTGCTTCAGGCCTTCCCACATGCTGTTTCCTTTATCTGGGATACTCTCTTTCATATCCCTTCCCTCCTACATTCCATGCCACTACTGCTCACTTCCTTCTTAGCTCACTCTATACTTCATTATGGTCTTAGCCTAACATATCTACCATGTAAAATTGTGCAGTGTGCAACCTATACAACTGTACATGGTGGACCTGTTTAGATACTGCTTTTTTCAGGCAGCCTTTGCTAATCTCTACCTCCAAACATGGTTAGATGTCTTTTTTAAGTCTTCTTTTAATATCAGCATTATAACTTTAATTTTTATTTGTCTGACTACTTGTCCACATTCCTCATTAGGATTTTAAGCATATAGGGGTACCCACTATATCTGCCTGTCTCCTAGTATGTGCTTTCTATATTTTTAAATAAATGGGTAAACTTCTTCCTGATGGTAGTCTTGTTTTATCATGTTTATATATAAAGCTACATTAAAACTCTTTTTTATTATGGAAATCTCCTATTAGGTTTCAATTTCTTGCAAATTACTCAATTTGCTGTTATTCAAGGAAATATAATATTTAATGAGAACTGTAACTTTGCTGGCAACTCACACCACAGTTATTATTTTCACATATACCTCTACTGTTATATTTTCTGAAATACAAATTCTCACTATGTCAGGATACACAAAAGATTGTTGAAATGCACAATTCTCTGCCTTTCTGGAATGCAGAGTTTGTGGGAAGCATTTAGAAAATGTTTCAGTGTGTGACATTTCTAGATTAAAGAGAGCTATAGTTTTATCAGCCTCAAATTTCAAGGAGTCCCAAAGTGCAGAGATCAGCAATACATGGAGAAATGGTGAGGTCAGCATTGCTTAGCCGTCTTGAATGCCATTTTGGTTCTCCCTGACAACAGGGAAATTATCCTCATATCATAGCTAACACTGCAAAAGTAGTCTTAAAAGATTACAAAGCATTAAGCCTGGCAAAAACAAAACAAATGCCAGGAGGCAATCTCCAGTGTAAACAATCTGCCAACATTTGAAACCACAACCACAGATGTTTGTTCCACCCTTTGTCATAGGGTCTGTCATAGGGTGTAGCTTTAAGCCCTGCTGGCCCAAGTGGCAGTTTTAGAAGAGAAGTTTACCTTAGCAACCAGCAACAGAAAACCAAGTGATGAACCCACAATGAAAGGTCACATAATATTTGGAAAGGGAGCTTCACTTTATATGGTATTTAACAAAGGATGAAAATATAAGAAAAGGCTGCATTACCCGATAGAGAGTGTTTGTTCTACCAAAGATCAGTTCTCAGAACACATTTTCCACTACATCATTTGTCAGGTAGGGAAGATATTCCTTCTAAACATAGAAATGTCCCTGTATTTAGGCCGAGTGCGGTGGCTTATGCCTGTAATCCCAGCACTTTGGGAAGTCAAGGTGGGTGGATCACTTGAGGTCAGGAGTTCAAAACCAGCCTGACCAACATGGTGAAACCCCATTTCTACTAAAAATAAAAAAAAAAAAATTAGCCGGGCATGGTGGTTGGTGCCTGTAATCCCAGCTACTTGGGAGGCTGAGGAAGGAGAACTGCTTGAACCCGGGAGGTGGAGGTTTCAGTAACCCGAGATCTTACCACTGCCACTCCAGCCTGGGCAACAGAGCAAGGCTCCATCTGAAGAAAAAAAAAAAAAAAAACTGTCCCTGTATTTAAAATACATGTGGATGATGATGACATCAGAAGATAATGAGTAACTGAATTCACCCTGCAAGTTCCCCAGGTGTACCTGGTATGAAAAAGGTATTCTCCTTCCATAAAATATGTGTCCATTCACAAGACAAGAGATGCTATCTTACCAGTTTTGCTAAGAACACTGCCATCAGCATGGCTGAATATTTTTTCTCATGTATTGTGCAAGGCAATTCTGTCAAACAAAAGAGTTATATACCTTTCAGCTTCATTTAAGCAAGAAGAAAATAGGAGTTCCTATGAAAATTTCACTATAGTACAGATACATAAATAAATATATATACACACACACATATATACATATGTGTGTATGTATGTATGGGTACACATACATATTTGCTTTGATTTGGACTTTCACATTTCAAGTTCTGCATTTTACATCTATTATAAAGGATAAAAGCAAGTAGGAACAAGAATATTCCATTGAAAAAGAAAACGTAGCAGTGGAGGTAAACACATTTCATTTCATTGCATTATAGAGAAGATATGACTTACGATGGTGGGAGCGTAAGATTAGAAATAAGAGTTTAAATGAAGGTAAACCTCATGATATCTGTAAAATGAGCAATCTAATCTAGATTCATGAATATAAAACATTTTTTTCTCCAAACATAATTGAATACAGAAATCCATCTATTAGCAGAGCAAAGAAGAATGGCTGTGATCACCAGGTAGGCAGAATAGTCTTATATAGCCATTTGTTGTCCAGGGCAATTTTGCCTATTAAGTCTGTTTCCTCCCAGTTAACCTTCCTTCCATGAGCCTCTGAAGCTTGATGTCTGAACTCAGGGATGGTTTGGAAACCCCTACTTAGGCAGTCTTGGGTCTTCTCAAATACTGCAGTCTAATACCATGTCCTGCCTGCTCTAAAACTGACTCCTGCTCCTTCCGTCTGTTTTTCCCAGTTTACAGATCTGGCTTGTGTATTCACTCTCTACATGTCTATGTAAGTAACCACATTCGCATTGGCTGAGAAGTCATCACTTGCAAAATAGTCTTTATTGAGTTCAAGAGCCAACATGCTCTCTGGTCCTTCTAATCCAGCTGTTCTCAACCTTGGCTGCACATGGAATCACTGAGGGAGGCCTTGGTCTGCAGTAAAGCCTACACACCTCCCCAGGTGATTCTAATAGTCAAGCCAGATTTGATAAGCACTCTTCTTATCTGCTTACTCTCCTCCTTCTATTCTAACACAGCTGGACTCCAGCCAGACCATATATTCATTGATGGCAGGTTTTTGTCTATTTTACTCAGCGCTTTACCTTTAATGCCAAGTAACATAATAGGTGTTAAATAAATACATGCCAAATGAATTAAGCAGTCTACCCTGCCAGTCATTTACCTAAGGTAAAGATATTTTAAAATTAAGGCAATAAATTTAAGTCCAAGAACAATAAACACTGAAAATGAAGTCCCCGTTATTTGGAAATCTTCCTTAAGTAAGAAAGATAAATGTATGACTATGTGCCTAAGGCTTATGAGAAATAAATCACAGTAAAGTTGGGAGAAAACAAGGCAGTAGGTTTCAATAAGTTGGTTGCCATGGAGACTAGGGTTTTGATGACAATAACACTGATAGCAACTGTGTTCATTCCTGACCAATTTAGAGCACTTAACTATTCACAAAGCACTGGGGCATAATTAAGCCTCATAGCAACCCCATGATACAATTGGACAGTTATCATCCTTCATTTCCTAAATCAGGAAGGTCTGGCTCAGAGAGTATCTGCTGCCTAACAAGCAGCCAGATTCCGGATCCGATTCGGATTGCCAAATTAAGCAATTAAAAATTCGTAAATATGTTCCAAATATCACTGGGGACATACTTATACTAAAAAAATTATTTGATTTTTATTTGAAATTCAAATGTAACAGGGCATCCTGCAACCTCAGGTTCCAGGCCAGTTCTTTATCTGTGAAAAGAGTATTTTAGATTCGAAAGTCATGGTGGACCCTCTTGGATTAAATGGGCTACACTGTGGCTCCTGCCTTCTCTCCCTGACTCTGAGATTAGGTCTTCCTGAAGGCTTTGCACATGTCCAGCTCTTGGCCTGTGACCTACTCCAGCATAGCAGTGGGCTGAGCCGAGCAAGAAAAGAGGGTGGCAAAAACCACACAAATGATGTCTCTCAGTGTTCCAGGGCCAACTCTCCATGTGGACTCTGTGGGGTTTATTTTTAGTAAGTAATACAGAATGATACATAATTCAAAGATATAAGAAACTGAAGCCAAGCCTTCCTCTTACCCTCAGTTTCTGGGACACCCTTCCAGAGATACTTTATTCATGTATAAACACACACAAACATATCTTTAGATATAGCCTTTTAATTTTTCTACAAACAGTTAACATACTATATGCGATTCTGTGCCATGCTGTTCTTCACTGAATATATCTTGGAGATGGTTATATTATCTATCTGTTTCTCTATCTAAAGCTTCCTCATATCTTTAACTGCCACATAGCATAGCTTTCCATTGTATAAATGTACCATAATTTAATTAATTGGTGCCCTTGTGATGCATAATTTTCCAATCTTAAGCTATTAAAAGCAATGTGGTGATAAATCTTCTTGTATTTAGGACTAAGTACGGATTTCTGAGTATAACCATGGAAGAAGACCCTCGAAAGGGAACTGCTGAGTTAAAGGAAATGTGCCATTTATACTTTGGCTAAATGTTCCCACACTTTCATTCCTGAAGTTGTGCCAATTTATGTTGGTAGAAACAATGTATTAGAGCACTTTCCCCATCATCATAAATACAGTGTATGTTACTAAACTTTTTGATATTTAAACAATTTGATAGATAAAAAATGGTATCCCAGTGCCATTGTAATTTGGGTTTCTCTCACTATGAGTTAAATTGAACTTTTTTTTTTTTTTTTTTTGAGACAGAGTCTTGCTCTGTCACCCAGGCTGGATTGCAGTGGTGTGATCATGACCCACTGCAGCCCTGAACTCCTGGGTTCAAGCAATCCTCCCACCTTAGCCTTCCAAGTAGCTGTAGCTGCAGGCATGAGCCACCACACCAGGCCAATTTTTAAACTTTTTGTAGAGAAATTTTAAACTTTTTGTCTCACTGTGTTGCCAAGGCTGGTCTTGAACTCCTGGCCTCAGGTGATCCTTCTGCCTCAGCCTCTCAAAGTGTTGGGATTACAGGTGTGAGCCACCATGCCCAGATGACATCTTTTTGTATGTTTAAAAGCCACTGATATTTTTATGTGTGTGTGTGTGTGTGTGTGTGTGTGACATCCTTGGCCTATTTTTTTAATTGGGTTGTTGGGCTTTTAGTACTGATTTACAAAAATTCTTTATGTATTAAGAAAATTAACTGGATATCTGTCATCCATGTTGTCATGTTCCCCTAGTTCATTCGTTTTTTGATTCATAATCATTTCAATGCAGAACTTAATGAGTTTTGAAAACACCTTCTATTTACATGAGTATAAGACATATTTAGGTTAAAAAGGCTCATTTTCAACAACATACATGATTATCTCCACAACTATAACAGCTACCATTTGCAGGAGGACTTATTATGGGTCAAGTCATGTGCTAATCACTAAATACTAATCTATTTAAGTAATCACTGCAGTCCTATGAGAAATGTACAATTGAGTCATTGTACCAATAGTTCCTAAGATTTATTTGGACCTAAAGCTAGCCTGAAATAAAATTACTAAACCATATGGAGTTTGTATTTGGTGTATTCCCAACTTTTCCATCCAGCTTCTCTCCTCACCACAACATTTCTTCACTCTTTTCTCTTCCCCTCTCCACCCAGAGTCCCCACTCCCCTCCCCTTGTATCTTGTATACATTCTGAGGAAGAGCCTATTTATAATTCCCTAGATTTTCCTGCCAGCTCTCAGCCAGTCCCTACTAGAGTGCACACTGAACAGCTCCCCAAAACTTGTAGAGCACAAAAGCAATTTTTAAGATGCAAAAAATTCAAATATGCATAAAATTAGAGCTACAACTCATTGATATGATAAAGGGCAAGGGATTATTTGCAGAAATGGATGACGTATGAAGCTTCATATTCTGAATGCACATGTTCAGCCCTGTCTAGACTGTGAAGAGCATCAGAAAGCCCCTCTGGAATTTGAAGCATTGTGAATTCTAGAGAACAAGTGCCCAGGATTTGGAGTCAGAAGATGCTGTCCTGGTTTACTCTCTCTGTTAACCATGAGTCCTGGGGTAATAGTGTAGCTGACAGAAAGAGCCTGGATTTTAGAATCAGGTAGCTCTTACTTAGAATAACAACTCAGCCAATCAGTGCATGATTTCAGGAAATGTAATCAACCTCCTCCAAGCCTTAGTTTCTCAGGCGTAAAATGGAGATAATAATATGAACCTCACAGAGACGTTTGTGTAAATTTAATAACATCATGCATGGAAAGTGCCCAGCACAATTCCTGGTGTAGTGTACATTCTCAGTAAAGCATGGTCTCAGATTTTACGTCTGTCAAATCATTGTAATACTATACTATCAAAATATTTTATATTTAAGTCGTAAATAGCAGTCTCCTCAAATTCTATCATTCATGTACCACTTTTGGGGTTTTGCCATATCTGTGCACCAATGGTACTAATATTACTTAATATTTTTCTTTAACTGTACTCATCTTTGAAAAATGTAGCATTTATTTTAGTTGGTTTCAGGAAAATTAGCATATTATCCATGAACTTGGGAGTAGTTGTACTGGTGAATCTAGTATGTTTAAAAATCAATACATAATTATTAAAATAGAAAACTATGGCCACATGCCCCCTGAAATAATCTCATGAACCACCATTGTATGCCTACTACACTTTGGAAAACACTCATTTACGTGAAAGTTTGTTATTATTATATTTTCAACCTTTCCTTTTCAGGACTTGGAAGCTAAGGCCCAGAGAGGAGGAGAAACTTGATCAAAGTCAATCAGACAATGCAGAATCGAGAAAAGTACCTGGACCTCTATGCCCATGCTTCTAGCAGCCAGCCTCCTAAAATACCTCTAGTTGAAGCCAAAGTTAGAATCCTTCTACGAAACTACAGGATTAAAATGGTGATTTTCTGAAGCAATCTTGTTTTTCCCCCATTGTTCTTACCTTTCTTCACCTAGGAGACCTAAAAGGCAGGGTTTTCTTCCCAGAACATGTCTAATAGTGCATACCTGAGATGACCCAGCTATAAGCCTTTCTTGGTTTAACTGTAGGAGCCCAGGGGTAAATGGAATGGAACCAAGGAAGGCAGAGAGATTGGGGTTGTCAACATCATATCCTGCTTAGAGACTTCTGTAAAAGTTGTCTGATCTTATTTTACTTTCCCAACTGAACACTCTAAAGTGTGTCAAGACTTCTAGATGTTTCTACCCATTGCCTCCAAAAATTTAGATATGTTTAAATTCTATGCCTTTTAAAAAAATCAAGAAATTCCTAAATACTCCCTAATTGAGAAATAATAAAATTTAAAAGTTCGTAATAGAGAGCAGTTTGGGGACCTACAGAAGTAGCAAGAGTGCAGGCAGCTCTGCAATGGGTTCTCTTGCCTTTGTTTCTAAGTATCAAACTCAGAAACCAACTAAGGGTTGAGGATGTTGCAGTAGATGCATGTTGTCTGTGCCTTCTTAGTATCCATTCCCTGACATTTCTGGTTAACAGTATCCTGGTTTTTCTTTGGAAAATCTGCCCTTCCTTATTTTCAGTCCAAATGATTTGAATGGGGCTGACTCTGACCCTTAACTCCCTTTCCAGGAATGGTTACATGACCCAGGCTTGACCAATCAGATCATCCAAACCCTTTGCCACAGTGATTGGTCCAGGGATACATGCATGAGCCAGCTCAGGTAAATGAGACTCAATTATAAGAATTTTGTTAGCGCAATTGGGAAAAAGAAGTTTTCTTTCCATGAGAACTATCAGCTATAAGAATGTTGGATGCTTCCATCTGCTGGAGTCCATGAAGAAGGTCCATGAAAATGAAGCCAGCACAACAACACAGAGCTAAGACATACAAAGAGATGGAGATTAAATTGAATGGAACTTTTAAGCCCCTACATGCCCTTGAAGCCAGATATCCCTGAACTTTTAATTTATATTAGTTGATAAAGTCCTTCTTTAGCTTAAGCCAATTTGAATTAGAGTATTTTTCACTTGGGGTCCAAAAGAGCTCTCAATACAAAAGTCTGACTGAGTGCATGATGTGCTGGTTTCAACCTCAAGGGAACAGGGAAAGGGAAAGAAAGAGGCAGAGGTTGTGAACAGGACAGTAGAAGGTGGTCAGGAGACAAATATCTGGACTCAACTTTGTCCCTACTGTGTGGCCTTGAATAGTGAGTTAACCACTCCGAGCCTCAGTTTCCCCATCTGGAAAAAAAAGTTAGTGGACAGTCACTAGTTCTCAGACAGAACTCTGTAGCAGCGAGAGGGTAATGGGGATTGAGAGTCCCAGACTTGCATTCTGAGGGACTAGCTCTCCTCTTATCTATATCATATACCAGGTTTTCTTGTAAGGTTTTGTTAGAATGGGTCTCACTGTTAAAATGGATTAGCTGATCATTTCAGTTCTATTTATATTAAAGTCTAAATTGAATCAAGGCTCAGCTGGGGCCCAGTAAGAATGTAGTGCCTGGTTAATAATATTTTCTACTCTATGATAGGAGTTGGCCAGAAGCCAAGGTCAAAAACTCAATCCCTGGAGGGTTTATTTGCTTTCTGCAGACATAAAAAATTGTTAATAACAATGATCTGCATCCCCAATCTTGAGAGCTGTCTTAGAGATGTGGGTCATTGATCACAGAAGGGGCTGGGAAAAGGAATGTGGATGATTCCAAATAGTCATTAGCTCTGCCTTAAATGCCAATACAAACACTACTGCCAATGCTCAAGGCAAGCAACCTCTTCATAGCTAGAACACAGAGGGTGGTGTGCTTGAAGGCTTTTGTTTCTCCTCAAGACAGTGTAGAAAAAGCTGAGAAAACAAAGAGCACTTGTTTCACAATTAACTGCACAACACCTGATGTATATCCACAGTCCTCTAAATTAATATGGATTCGCTTTTCTTTATAAAGACAACATACACATTGTAGTGGAAATCGGATGGGAGGATAATTTTTATGAAAGCATATAACAGTATTTTTATAAAATATAAATTATCATTACAGTAAAATATATTAACTTCAAGGCAAGTTTTGACACTGTATGCAAGTTTAAAGTATTTCAAATTTTTAAAAAGTGTATCTTAACAAATAAATTTTAGCACCAATTGCCAGAATTGTTGTCCACCACTATAGTCAAAACAATTTTCTTTTCTTTATTTCAACTAAAAATTGTGAATGGGACTAAAGTCTTTATGCAAATATATACTCCAATAATAATATTAATCTTGCCAACAGTAGCTGAATATTTAATTAACTTTAACAAACATGTTGAAAGATAATAAACTAAAAAAACTATTTTTCCTTATAGTCTCTGTATAACTAGGTGCTTTCTCATTAGAAAGCTTATTTTTTCAAAAGTATATATAACATAGGTAATTTATATTAATAAAAAATAAAAAGTTGCAAATTTCTTGAGGTGTAATTTCTCATGTTGATTAACTTCTGATCTCTATCATTTTGCTTACATGTACCATAGATACACAAAAACCAGATGGGGGGCAGGGTAATCAATCTTAGGAGAGGGCAATAGTTAAGTCAGACTAGGCAGAGTCAAGACAAGAGGCAGGCAGAGGGTTAGTTGAGGGCAAGTTATGAATGCCTCAGAACACATCTCAGGATTTGGAAACAAGCAGTAGTCTGGTCAAATCCAAACTGGGAAACACAGATGGCGTCAGGATTAGACAAAGTCAGGAGGGCGAGACTAAGCTAGGCAGGAATATATGTTGACACTGGGAAAAAAGATTCAGTTTTACCAGATGACAAGGAGTTTCAGACAGCACCTTGGATAGCTCCCTGGGTAAGAGGTACTTTGACAAAACTAAGACCCTAAGAAGTAAAGAATCTAATCTTCTAAGCTCCAGACTTCCCAGTTGGCACCACCCCTTGATGGAATGAACTTGGTCCCAGGAGCCTAGGGGAACAAGTTACAAGCATTCACTGGAGGACTTAAAACTCTAGGGACGGTGTCTATGCCCCCACGGTAAAAGGCTGTTGATGGTAATACTGAGGAGAGTTATCGTCTTCCCAAACTTCAGACAATTTGTTTTCCAAATGCCTTATCGCACCTAATTTGGGAACAGAAGATCATCCTAGGACTAGCATTGCTGTGAATGACAAGGGGCCCTGTAGTGCAGCTTTAATGTCTTAATGTTTACCCTTGATTTCTTATTGTCTATTTTGGGTACTTATATTTACAGATTAAAGGAAGTGTGATATAGTAAATTATGTATCTGTTAGATGTAATAAAATTCTATATTAAAACAAGTTTAATTTTCCCCATCACTGCAATTTCAGATATAGTAAAGTTCATGATTTTTAAAAAATCCCTGGGTTTGACATTCATTCAGGCCTCTGTTGCCAGACTTTTCCCCTTTCTGGCCACGTACTGTTACCAGTGGAGAAAAGTTGCCTTCAGCTGACTCCTCACTGGTAGAGCCTAACAATTCAAGTTCAAAGATATATCATTTATCTCAACATCCTTTGGTTGTACTTGCCTTATAGTTTCAGTGGATCATAATAACTGGGAAGCCAAGCTCATTCCAAATGGCTTATTCACTGAATTGAAAGCACATTTAGATTATTAATCAAGTTAATAAAAGATTTGTATAAAATTAACCTAGGAAAGGAATCAGGCAGAGGGAGGAAAATAAAGACATTGTTAGTGGAGTAAAGGTTAGGCAGGGGGTGAGGTGAGAAAAAAGAACCACTGGGGATACCTATCTAGCGTGTGATTGTGACTATATGGAGCCCATGGCATGATGACGTGGAACCAGCTCTGAGTTCATTCATTCTGCAATATTTGTTGAGCATCTACTCTATATCAGGTACTGTTCTAGTCCCTGGAGATAGAGCTGTAAACAAAACAGATTTTCATGGCATTAGTTATTCTTTTCTGGCAATCTTAAGTCAGGTCACCTTGAGTGAGAGCTGTCTGGGTGACAATTCTTCAGAGACTATGGCCAAGATACAACATAAGGAGGTAGCTAAATAGGAAGTCAGACCTGCAAACAGATACATGAAAGACCTGAGTGAGAGATTTAAGGGTTATGAGTCTCCCGTCTCACAGAAACCTCACAGTATATACTTTGAGAAGTGCCAGGTGAGCAGAAGAAGATTCCAACATATTTTGATGCCAAGGAGGAGTTGATACATTAGAAAACACATAGGTGATACTTAGTTGGGTTTCTTTGTATGGCTCGAGATCACAAAACATTAACATTGGAAAAGACTTGAGAAGACATTGAGGCTAACTAACTCCCTCTCTCAATTATTCTTAAGTCTCTTAGCTAATTAGTGGTAAAGCCAGGACATGCTCATCTTTACTGAAATTGAGGCAAGATGTTTCTTTGTGTCCCTCTCACATTTAATTGTGTCTGGCTAAAGAATCTCCTTGATAATAGCAAATTGAACCCACATTAATATGTATAAACTTAAAGTACTACAGGGCATTCATTTTTTATTTTTCCTTGGGCCCCTGATAGGCTGGACTTTGGCTTGGGATAAAAGGTATTAAAAAAAAAAAAAAAAGAAAGAAAGAAAGGAAGAAATCATGCGTAAGCATGCAAAGAGGAACACAGCCAAGGGAATGGAATGCAGTGCCTGACCTGGAGCTCTCTGGCTTCTTTCAGTGAGAAGTGCCATCCTTCTCTTCAGTTACAACTCCCTTCTGACATGTGACTTATTGCTTTTATACAGAATAGATTGTCATAAGTGGTGGATTGGACAGGACTTGCTTTGGCTTAGGAGACATATTATATCCATGCAAAAAAAATTTTCACTGAACTATGGATCCCTTAATTGCTTTAGCTATAGAATGAGCAACACTTTTTTTTTAATAAAAGCAACGATATATGAACTATTTTCCAAAACTCTAGTACAAAACAAATATAACTTTAAAAAATGAAAATGAGAGAATCCCATAGATATACACTGTAAAATGAAAATATTGATTTATTATAGTACTGCTAAACATCAGTGGTACAATATAAAGAGAGAAGGGAGGGCAACAGTGGGCAAACCACCCATTCATATCTGAAAATGAGACAATAGCAGCCACTGCTGCCTTCCACAGTTTTCAAAAGTTGGCCAGGTTGGCTATTATGCCTTCTGATTTTACTTATAAAATAAAATGTCCTATGATTCCTTTTTGTTTTTTCCATCTTTAGCAGGAGATGCTAGGCGCTAAACATGCTTTGAAATTTTACAGATGATAGGTAGTGTCTTCTAGAATATTTCCATTGTATCTTAATTTTTTTTACATTTTCAACATTCCTTTTGGACAATGTAGTGGGGGAGAGGCATTTATTAGAAAGTTCTGACTTGCAGGTGGCATTGTATTATGCGCCAAGAGTGAACCAGATAGAGGAAGTTGCTCCTTAAGCTTGCAGGTCTGAAAGAACAAGGAATTGCCTCTCTTCAAAGGCAAGTAACTTCCATGATTGACACTTTTCTCTCATCAGCCCTCCAACAGTAATTATGCCAGAAACAGACCCAAACCTGGGCTAGTCACTTGTAGCAGGCTTTCTGGACATAAGGCTGTAATCACACCTGACTTTCCTTTCAGATAAGAAGTCCAGCCACTTCTTTAATTTATCGGATTATAAGGTAGAGGATATATATATTTAAAAATACCCCAATAGTCTTGCAGAGGTTAGAAGATGATAGCACTCCAAACTAGGAACAATTGAGTAAAAGCATAAAAAACTAGTGATATTAAATGAAAGACCATCCTTTCATTCACTTTTTAAATATGTGAATTACAGACTTACTTCCATGGGCAAATTATATTAGACTGAAGCTTGGCTTTTGAAGATGCCTTTTTTAAAAGAGTTTTTTTACCTAATGAATTTGACATTTCCAGAACAACTATAATTCATAGAGATTTCTGTAGCTTACATAAGGGCTGTTACCCACACCATCTTATCTGAGCTCCCCAGCAATCATTTAAGAGGATATTATTATTCCATGTTCTCTATATCATTTATTTATTTATTTATAGAGACAGGGTCTTGCTATGTTGCCCAGGCTGGTTGTAAACTCATGGACTCAGCCACATTCTGTATATCCTAACACTTCACAGTCTGTATCAAGAAGCAAGATGGAAATTCCTGTATGCATTTGTTTCTTCTCTTTTATTTTCCCTGCCCCACAGGCCTAAGCCACACTCATCTTGTGGATGACACTGGAGCTGTGACAGTCTGTTCTGTCCAGGCAGGGTGTCTTTTATTTTTATTGGAAATAAGATTATCACAGGTAAGAACATCTGGCATAGGCACAGTAGGTGACGGGTAAGAATTAGGTGATTTGATTGTAATTGGTTAGCTTCCTTAGATATTCCCAGGAGGAAGTAATGGCCTCAGGGGGCCTCCAGAAAAAAAAAGATCTCATGAAATTTCTTTCGCTTAGTGGATTGAGCCTGGGGCTAGCTCATATGATGACTATGGGACCTTCAATTTGCTGAATCTATCCACAAGCTTCTACACTCTTTGGGAGATTGGTTAAAAGTCTCTCGAAGACACCAAGACTTCAAGAGAAGTCTTGAGTTCTTCAGAGAAGTCTGGAGAAGACTGAGAATTTGTAAGGCAGTTTCATTGTTTTTGAAGGGTTTTTTAATATCCCCTAATTTTACTTGTGTTGGTCTATCTGTGGAAATGTGTGGTATGTACACACACACAAACCATACTACAGACAAACTCATAATACGAAACATTAAAGTTTTGTTTCTGCTGTTCTGAATATGCTTTGGTGCATGGAGACCTGGCAGGACTATAAAAATAAGGTATAACAAACTCATCCCAAGCAAGGGGCAGGAGAGGACAGTGCCTCCCTGGTCATCAATTACAATGACACATTCAAAGCCTAAGTCAGCTCTCCACTCACAGATTTGGACATTCCCTCCCCCTCCAGGACGGTTCTTGTGGCTTTCCATTGCTCTTGAGCCCAAGATAAACATCCTCAAGATCTGACTTATCATCTATCACTAGACCAAACCACATTACCTCATTTTCCTCTTCCCTGCCTACTCCCAAATTAAATCTTACTCCTGGCCTGCCCTTCTTCCCCTTCCCTGTCCCATCAAGCTCTCTCCTTTGTGTCAAACAAACAGCTGACAGTCTCTCTTCAGCCAGACTCTCAAAAATCAAACAAAAAAAGGTAATTTTCAGCCCTATGTAAACCATTTGGCTCAACAAACATTTATTATTAAGTGCCTACTTTATGCCAGGCAGAAAACAAAAACACATCAAAGGGCCTACCTCAGTGAGCTGACAGTCTACTGTGGAAGTATTATGTTCCAGGGATGCCTGAGTCAGGGCACCTAACCGGACCAGTAACCCCAAATCTCTCTTCATTTGACAGTGGAGGATTTTTAAAAATTAGGTGTTTCCACACTGTTTTTCACAAAATAGGAACTAGACCTGTTTGGGGATTAAAACCTTCCTGACCATTTAGAAACTCTGCAATATTTTCCATTCCTCGATGTTCAGTTTGCACTTGGCCACAAGACGTGGTTTAGGAAGAGCTGTTGGCCGCTAACTCAACACAGATTGGCAATGACACATGGAAACCTAGGAAACTGACTGTGTAAACAAACAATACTCCCAAATACACACACGGCCCAACCAACTGCCCCTGCAAACCCCACCACTGCAGAGCAAGGCACTTTTTTCTTCCTTTTTTCTTAACAGAGGACCTTAAGGTAAAAAATAAAAATAAAAATTTCCAGCAACAGGAAAATGATTAAATAGATTATGATCCATATTACAGACTGTTAGGCAACTATTTAAAATAATGAGTTAGATCGCTGTTGACCTGGAAATGTCACATGTATGAATGTGCAGATCTCTATAGACTTGGAAATGTCACATGCATGAATGTGTGTGGATATATGTACACATACATGTATAGTGCTACAGCATATAAAAACATAGGTACACTTTCATAAGCTTTAAAAATAATGTTTCTACATACATAGAGTGATTGTGGAAAGATGCATGCAGCACGCTGCTTTGATAATATTAGCTACCTCGAGGAGATGGGAAGAGGAAGACTATTAATCTATTAATTAGTCATTTATCCCCCATATTCTGTATTATTTGAATGGTCATAAAGGCATGAATGGTTTGGTCATTTAAAATAACCAATAGTGTATTAAAGCAAAAACAGGAGATGGAGAAAATACTATCTGCCCTACAAAATGAATGATACATTTAAAGTGTTTCAACATACACAAAGTAAATAAGAATAGTATTTTGCAATAACACTTGTAATTACACAACATCTAACCACCAAGAAGCTCTGTTTGCAGACAAACTTTCATTCAGTTTTAATCGACTGCAGCTGCACATGCTCCCACTCAGCCAGATAAAGGGCAGGTGTGTTTTGCTTATGTTGGGGACAGGCCGAAGGCACACCTGTCAAACAACTTCTGCAAGGTTGCACAGTGAGCTGTGGATCCCAGGGAAGTCCTCTGAAACTCACCCATTCATGTGTTCATGCTGGGTCTCTGGTTTGCAAAGGACAGATTTATTATGACATCTGAGAATAAACAAGTAGCCATTTTCCTATCAAAAACTCAGAAGTGGCCATTACATGTGCAGTTTAGAAGCAATTAGTCCAGTGCTCACAAATAACTCATGGAGGCTGACCAGAAAGCAAACCCCCTTGGCTTTGATTCATAACCCCCCAGCAGACCACCCACACTGTATGCTTAAGGACCATGTGTGCTCATCAACAAAACAATAAGATCTGACAGTCTAGGGCTGTTTATACTCATGGTGCTCTGCTGGGTGGCTCACTCAGTAGGAGAGAATAGTTAAGGTCATTCTTATAGCAGTTTATAATGTCATGAATTTGTTCCTTGAATAAGCCCTTTGAGAGCTTCTGTGTCTCAACATCAGAAAATCATCCTAGATCCATACTTGTACACAACAGTCTGTGCCAGTGAGATTCATTCTTTTGGGAGCTCTGCTAATAATGCACGGTAAGTGAGCCAATAGTCATCTATAGCATCTCAGGGCTTCCCCTTGGGGTGGAGGGTCAGGTAGAGCATGGTTTATTACCAATGAGTGTGCATCAGAGGCCAGGAGTTGGTGACCCAGTTGGGTGTCTTGACAACAAAACACACTAGCTAGGGGGAGGCTGGAGTGAAGACAAATTCCAGAAGATGGCTCCCTCTGTGCTAACCCTGAGGTCTTGGGATTCTCAGATGGACAGTTTGTGAAGTAAAGATCAATTGGAGCTGGTCACCTGAAGCAGGCTGGGTTTGCTGTGGGCCATCCAACATCCCCACTTCCTAAGGAGGTAGAATTCCTAAGGGAAGGAGGGCAATAATTCTGAGTGTGCGAGGCCTGGGGATGAGGATTTTTGTTGGCAGGACATGGCAGCTTGCATGATAGGCTTGGCTACCCATTGTTTCTTAATTAACAGCTGAGAAAAGAAAAGAATTTTCATTGGAGGAACGCAAATCCTTTAAAATTTTCAGGTCCAGAGAGATATTAAAAGGAGGTAGCAATTACATCCTACTCCCGGCTTTGAGCTATGTTTTCATGTCTTGAAACTGCTTGCTATTGCCCAGATAGCTATAAATTAACCTAATCATGCTACACAGGGTACTACAACCCACACCCTATACCTTAACAATGTATATAGCCAATCACTAATCAACATTGTTTTTGTAAACCAATAAGAATTCCTAACTTTGTGTTAGTTCACTCCGTGTCCCCTTTCTTCACCTTTAAAAACTTGCTTATAACAAAGGTCAATGGAGCTCATACCCAAGGTTGCTTGAGTCTGAGTCTTCTGGGCAGCTGTCCTCACTTGGCTTGTGAAACGTTTAAATTATATTTTGTGCCTCAGCCTCTTCACTTTAGGTTGACGTAGCATAAAACATTATGTGGGCACTTTGAAAAATACCACTGAAGGGGCCTAAGGTAAAACATGAACATTCTGAAGGAGAGAAACGGGGTAAGAGGGAGTTATCAGATTGATTTAAGGTTAGTAAGATACACAGATTAAATGGTGTGTGCTCTTACAGAGTCACCTTGGATATCCATCCTGCATTCAAGATGATTTTGCAAAAGCAAATGAACCCCTAATTGTCATGATCTCACACATTGTGCACTATAGCAGTTTTTTTTCTATTTCCTAATAAAAATTATAAGTAGGAATGGTGGAATTGACTTCCTAATAAAAATTATAAGTAGGAATGGTAGAGTGAAGTCTCTGAAATTAATTAATTGATTCTGAGTTTCAAGGGACACATACATACAAATGAAATTTTCTTACCTGTGAATATCACATGCAGTGCAGTGTTGTAACTTCACACCTTTTGTTGTTTGGGCTGGGCTTTCATACTAGCTTGCCTCTCCTGGACTGAATCCCTGCTTTGTTTCTTGCAAATGGACCAACACAGTCAAGAAAGGCTTGGCATTGACATCTCTGGTTCATGAAAACCAATAAGAAAGTCCAAATGGCCTGCACCCCTCAGAACATCCAAAGAGGAAGCAAGGGTCAATGATAACTATTCTCTAAGATGGGCATGTGATGCATACAGCACTAACATGACACTACCATCATCTCAATTTCTCATGAAGGTAGAGTTCAGAAATTATAATTCCTGATGCCTATTCCATGCATCATGGAGCCATGCTGTCTAAATGTCAGCCACTAGCCATTTAAATGTGGCTATTTACATTTAAACTAACTGAAAGGAAATAAAATTAAACATTTTGTTTCTCAGTCATACCAGCCACATCTCTACTGCTCAATAGCCCCATTGGGCAAGCAGCTATAGTACAGAACAGCCCAGGTACCCAACATTTCTATTATCACAGAAAGCTCTATTGGACATCGCTGGTCCAGTTTAACCTTGGATATAACCTTGGGCCTTTATGATGAGAATCATCCACCAAGTTAGAACAATTAAAGTGTCAAGAGGAAGGGAGGAAGAAGGAGGGTTTCACCTCTGTTGCGTATCAGCTACTCCTTCATTCTTTGACGTGATCAATTTATACTTTTTCAGTCTTACAAAAAGTCTGTGAAAACATAGCCTCAAGCCCTCGCCACATTCTGGAGCCACTACTAACCATAAGAGAACCTAGAATAAATTAATCCAGGCCCCAAACACAGGAAGATGACAGGGTTTTCATTGTGCTAACAGATCGTCTATTATTTAAACTACTTCCTGATGCTGACATATTATTTAAGTAAAGAAAAAGAGTGACCTGGCATTTGGGTTTCTCTCCTCTAACTTGTGAAGAATTCTAAGGTCTGCCTTCCTGGAGTTTCACAGCCATATATGACAATCTCCAAGGGAACGCTCTGTGCTGCTTTTGCTCTAACAAACTGCTTTGCTAACCCTGAGCCTTGACACCTAGTTTAATAGGAAAGGCTGAAGGGACTATTTTTAGAGAACAATCTGTTATTGAAACTCCCTCATGTTTCCACTCAAGAGTATAAGCATTCTCTAGAGTACAAAATAAAACATTCTACCACAAGCAAGTGATCCAAATTCAAGAGGAGAGAGGCATCATACAGAGTCGGAAGAAGAGCACCAATCCTCCAAAACACTTTAAAAAAAGTTTGTTCCCCAAAACAATCCAGTCTAGGACTGAGGCAGCATGTTTTCCAATTGAAAAGGATGAAGAAGTCAGTGCCATCTCAGAATCATTCTACACTCCAAATCTAGGTTTACCATCTCTAAAGGGATGGAATAAGACGTTTTTCTTTGCCACCAAATTGGTGAACAGGATCCATTGCCTAGGGAAGAGAGGCCCTAAGTACCGCCATTAATTTTTTTTTTTTTTTGAGGCAGAGTCTCATGCTATTGCCCAGGTTGAAGTGCACTAGTGTGACCTTGGCTCACTGCAACCTCTGCCACCCCTATTCCAGCAATTCTCCTGCCTCAGTCTCCTGAGTAGCTGAAACTACAGGTGCCTGCCACCACACTCGGCTAAATTTTGTATTTTTAGTAAAGACGGGGTTTTGCTATGTTGGCTAGTCTGGTCTTGAACTCCTGACCTCGTGATCTGCCCGCCTCAGCCTCCCAAAGTGCTGGGATTACAGGCGTGAGCCACCACACCCAGCCCCTCCATTAATTTTAAAGACAGCTATCAGGGAGCCTTCAACAGCTCAGGGCTTAGGAAAAGGGGCCAGAGCTGACTCAACTGCCCCCACCTGCCATCGCAGCCCTGAGACTCAGCCTTTGTAACGTCACTGGACATTTTCGGGAGCACACTGTTCCTGGTGAGAGGGAATTCTCTTGCCTGCATGTCCAGGGACACTGTTACATATCTTATATTTTCCCTTTGCAACATGTGCTGAAGATTTCCCTCCATCAGTACTTAGTGATTGCCTGCATTCTTCCAGACAGCAGCACAGTGTGCCACTACATGGATGGGCTCATCCTGGTCTCCTTTGCTAGACACTTGGGGTGCTTACAATATTTTGCTGGTGTCAATAATGCCACTATGAGTAACTTTGTACATTTCATACACATGTAATTGTAGTTGTAGGCTAGATTTCTGGAAGTGGGACTGCTGCATCCCAGGGCCAATGCATCTGTAATCTTGGTAGACATTGCCACGTTCCCCCTCATTGGGTTGTAAACTGTTGCTTTCTTGCCATCAATGTGCTAATATAAATGTCTGTTTCCTCACGGCTTCCCACACAATCCTCAACCCAGGAAGTTTATTGTACCTTAAAACTTTTAAGTAATATTTCCTAAAGTGTCTAAAAATCACCAGAGGGAGTTTGTTTAAAATGAAGATCCTTATAATCCACCTGCAGATATTCTGATCTGGTAGCCTGGCTTAAAGCCTGGGAAACTGCATTTTAAACAAATATTGTAGCGATTCTGGTGCAGGTGATTTCATGACCAATGTTTTTATAAGGGATTCAGAGGCTAGAACATCCCTGCCGAATCACAGCTGTGGGTTTTGCAGGCTGAGCTGCAAAGGTGGTGCTGTTGCAGGGGTTAGGGTCCTGGATTTGAAATCCATACTGCCCAGGTTTGAACCATGGCTTCATTGCTTGCTAGATGTGTGCTCTGGGGCAAGTTACTTCATCTCTGTGTGCTGTTGTTTTGTCTGTAAACTAGGGCTAATAGTATTATTGCTTTTAGGATTCAGTGAGCTAAACGTTGTAAACACTTTCAATAATGGGTGGTTTCTTCTTATGTGGTAGAAACTGCTAGCTATCAACCTCAATATCAATTTTCCCCATCTTCCATGGTAACAGAACTCCTGATTTTGGCTGGGCACATCCACTAGAATAAACACTGTATTTTTCAGCATTCTTTGCAGCTCTTTGTGGCTGGCCAGTGAGAGAGAGCAAGACAGGCTACATAATTCAAGGGATCCATGCAAAAAGAAAATGCAGGGCTCTTTGCTGAAAAAGTAGGAAAAGGGTGCTGTTAACAGTATTAAATATAAAGCTTTTTCATTACTTCCAGGATCTCTCTCTTGACCTGTCATGATGATTTTTATTTGCCATGTTATGTTGCTCCCTCAAGCGCACAGACACTTGTCAGGCAAGAGGAGTCCCTCACTTTGGCGACTCAGTGAAACACAGCCTCTGGGGTTTTCTTCTGGGTTCCCCATCCTGCCACATGCCAGCTCTGTATTCAGTGCCTTGGTGGCGGCTGGGAAAGCAAGCCAGGCATCTCCTCTGCCTACCGTCTTGCTGTCCCAACCCCCTGCAGACAGTGACCTTTAAGGGTACTGCAGCCTCTGCACACTGGGACAGGTGAGGCATCCAGGTGAGAGAGCCACTTACCCTCAGGGTATTGCCCACTTTGTTTGCACATGCCCCATTGTCCCCTTGGATTTCAGTTACAGAACAGACTCAAACATACATCTCTTAAGAATTTCAAAATGGTTTAACTGTCTGCTTTTCACTGCAGCAGTCACATGCCCATGGAACCTTAAAAGTTGCATAAGTTTTAAGTGCATCTTGTAGGAAATGCCCTTAAAAATTATCTTTACTTTCCATCTTCTTGCCTGAAATACATTCATAATAGATGGAGAATTTGCCACTGCCTGAGACCATGAGGATAAGGGCCACACTTAGGAATGGCTAAGCATGAGTTAGAAGGAGCCTGGATGTCAAACAGCATCCTTTCATTTAAAGCTATTAAGGGCAGGGTTCTTACCCTGGGGTAGAGGATTTGATTCCAGAGGTTCATGACATCATACACAAACTATTACATGTCTGTTTTTCTGGGGAGAGAATCCATGGCTTTCATCAGATTCTCAAAAGGGCTCATGACCCCAAGAGTTTAAGAAACATGGCTGGAGGACAGAGCTTTGAACAGCTGCAGACAGAGTTCTCTTTGGCTGTTTACATGTTGAAGTAATCACAGGCACTGTTAAGACCAATGTAAGATGTAGAAGAGACAAACATGGATAAGACACCATCAGGACTGGAATGATGAGAGAAGGGGCTTGTGGCCAGGCCAGGAGAGAAACTCTAACCCCTTCCTTCCCAGCACTCGTCTTGGTGAGATGAGATTCATGGTTTATACCAGAACCATCAACAACTTTTACTTGATCACTATTTGAAAATTGCTAGGATCCTGTATATAATTCACATTATTTGAAAGCTGCTAGCATACTGCCTATGAATCACTGCAGAATGGTAGTTTTTTCCAACTAGTCTTTTCAATGTCCTCGGCCAAAACCCAGAGTTCATGAGACCCTTTAGTAGCTTAAGGAGAGGTATCCAAGCTGCAGAGATCACATTGACATTTGAAGTGACCATTCAGGAATCTGGACAAGATAAAGTGAGAGTCCACTCCACAAGAATTTCCTCTTGGGATGAATCAGCCCCTACACCAGCTCTTATTTTTGTTTTGGTTTTAAAACAACTAGGAACCTTTATTATAAATATTCAGTGCTCTTCAGGTACAAGATGTACAAGTACCACAAATTAAAACAAACTTGGCTTATCAGAAGTGAAAGCCTTCTTCCTTTTAAACCACGTATTTTCAGATATTTAAGCTTGGCAAGACATTTGCAGATATGTAAGCTTTACTTGCACTGCCTATTTGTCATTTCCTTACACAAATCTCTGTTGCATCTTAAATAGAAATAATAGGCTGGATTCAGTGGCTCACACCTGTAATCCCAGCACTTTGGGAGGCCAAGGTGGGGGATCACTTGAGGTCAGGAATTTGCGACTAGCCTGGCCAACATGGTGAAACTCCATCTCTACTAAAAATACAAAAATTAGCTGGTGTGGTGGCACATGCCTGTAATCCCAGCTACTCGGGAGGCTGAAGCAGGAGAATCGCTTGAACCTGGCAGGCGGAGGTTGCAGTGAGCCGAGATTGCACCACTGCACTCCAGTGGACAGAGCGAGACTCTGTCTCCAAATAAGAAAAAAAAATAGAATGAAAATGTGTTTTCATCTTTTTTTAAAAAAAATTTGCTTTTTTTGCCTTTAATTTTTAGTGTACTTTTTTTTGTCTTAACCTTTTCTTTTCTTAAATGGCAGAGATAGACACAATTATTTAGCTCAAAGAGACAATACAGTCTCATGGTGAAGAATCCACACTCCCTAGATTCAAATTCAACTCAATATAGCCTGGGCAAGTTACTTAACTTTTTTCACCGTGCCACCATTTCCTCATCTATCGGTGGGGATAATAATAATACCAATGTCCAGCTCATAGATTTGTTGTGAGGATTCAATGAATTATGGCTGGTATATAGAAAACATTGATAAGTATAAAGCTACTACTATTATTCTATTAGATACAGTATCACCATTCTAAAATTAAGAGCATTTGTAATCTATGTTGGAAAGGACTAGAATTCAGGATGAATTCTTGAGTTCTTACCTTGAGGAAAGAAGCCTCAGCCAGACTCAGGAATGTACTCATTGGAAACTTGGGCTTTAGGCAGATCAGTCACCCCACAGTGGGACTGGTGATCATGGTGAACCACATTTATTTGAGCACCTCCCGGGTTATGCTGAGGTGACACTGATGGTCAGGAAAACATGATACATTGTACTTTACATCAGAATTTAAAACAAAATAAACTAGGTGAGGGTCAGTATCTTCTACCTTCCCCAAATTACCAAAACACTAAAGACTTTCTAATAATAAATAAATCTGAAATTATTATTGTCAGTCATATTGATAACATCTACTTAATTGACAGCTGATCTTTAATAAACTCGATAAGGTTTTAATACTGAGCAGTACCTCAAATAGTCTAAACGAGGGCTCTTTTAAACATTTTACATTTGAATTTTAAAATTCAGCCTCTCAAGTTACCTCCTTCATATTGTATTTTGTAATGTACTTGTAATATGCTTCCAGAAACTTTTAGGTAAATTAAAGAGAAACGCCAATTTCATTTTTGGTCCCTTCCTTCAGCCTTTGTTCATCTATTCATAAGTAATATTCTCCAAGCTCACGTGCTCTCCCTCTGCCCCCCAACTTATTAATTTTTTTTAAATATTGTCTGTGTGCATTCTCTCCAGAATTGCTGGCTGTTGATACTCTTTCTCATCAACTCCCCAAATGGAAATGCTTTCAACCACTGCAGAAGTAAAAAATTACCCAAAGGCTGTATGATGCAAACTCTTTCTTTGGCTTTATCTTACTGATAAGAATAAAAATAACACCTCACGTATGTATAGAATATTAAGGTTCACAAAACACTTTGTGTCTCCACCGCCTTCATTAACCTCACCACAATCCAGGGAAATAAGTAAGGCATATGACAATTCAGCTCAGAGAAGTTAAATAAGCAGTCATTTCAATCCTACGAAATTAGAAGATCATAAAAATATTTTCACCAAAACCCTAGACTTATGATTCATGCTTGGTTCCTTAGCTAATTATTTCTACTTGCATGGAAAAAAAATAGAGTAAATTCTGAATTCTGGAACCCCTGGGCTGTAGCACAGACTCTTCAATCAGGGAATTTTCTGATTTGTGAAAGGAAACTATGACATCTTACGTAAATCAAGTACTACTCTCGAGTTTTCCTTCATCTCACGGTTGGTCTTCCTTACAAGGAATAGATACTTAAAACATATGGTAAAGCACACACTATTAACCCAACACAATCCAAGTTAACTCTATCAAAACCAGTACCAAAAAGGCCTCTCATTCTGACCTTCTGAAAACTGTCTGTGGAGGAATTCCACTAGGTCCTTTTTCATTTCCTGTTTATAGAGTTCTGGACGGTGGATATTTGGCATTAAAAGGTTAGTATAAATAAATGACCATTGATATGCAAATATTTAATTGATCATGATTTTTTGAAGGCCTTGCAAATAGCAACACTATTTATCGAAATACTTTTTAGTGATGTTATATATTTATATCTCAGAATATTTACCTTAAAAAGGAGGGAGGAAAAAATTGACTGTAGAAATGGCAGAAAAATATATTCTGCTATAGAATATATGTAGGAAAATAGGCAAATAAGAAATGGGATAAGACAGTAAGTACAGTAGGCAAGGATCTATGACAAATCAATACCTATAAAGATGGACCCAAAATAGACTGAAGTTTGAATATAATTCAGTACTCAACTTGCAGGCCACAAGACTATATCATAGATGAAATATATTGTTATAAGATCTTCTTGTCTCTCTAATCAATCAAACATTCAATTAGTAGGAAGTTACTGAACACCTACTATGTGCTTAGCCATGCATATTCAATGATGCAAATCTCTGGATGTTGCTCAACACCTACAGATATTTATACTACATTGCAGTGAGTGGGGTTTTGTAGAGCTGATGGCTCAAACTCCCTACCTTTTACCTTACTTCTTTAAAACAATAGGCTCAGATTAAGATAAGGAAACTCCGCTCTCCAAAAAAGAGGGTGATTCCTCAAACTGTTGATAAGGACTGAGCCAAATTTTCTTTTCTTAGCAGTGGAGCTAAAAAGTCTATAAGGCCACATGGAGTTAGCCTTTTTCTCTTTCTCTTTCCACATGCCTGGAGTGAAAAGGTCCAGGACCAGTCTTCCATAGGATAAAGATAGACCTTGCTTTTTCTCCTCCCAAGGAGCAGTCAGGCCCATGCCCATTTTGTGCCTGGATATTTCTTAGGAAGCTCAAGAAATCACAGAGTTACTGGCCAAGGAAGGATTTAGGTATTAGTGAATCTCCCACATAGTATGTTGGTTTCTAACAATGCACAGTGAAAATACAACCTCACTCACCCTACGCTATTTCCAAAGTTCAGCTCATCCCTTTTGCAAACACCTCCCCCTGAGTGGGATCTTGGAGCAGTTTCAGGCAGGGTTGCAAAAAGACACATTGAGACTGTTATTCTTAGTTGAGGAATATGTCAAGAGGAATAAATTCTTCTTCAGCCAAGATCATGCTGACATGAAAACGATGTCCTAGGAAACAAGGCGAGAACAACCAAAAGAACAAATGTTTCTGGCTGAAATTCTTCTCCAACTCTTCCTGTAACTCTTCAGGAGCAAGAAATTCCAGAAAGCAAAGCCATTCCCTCCCAGGTGCTAAAGTGTGGATAGGGACCAATGCTAAATATTGACAATCATCTTCAAAAAGTTCTCCATCTCAGGAGTTGGAACCTTTTCCCTTTTCTATTTTGAAACAAACTTTGGACTATTTTTAGCCTCTACTAGCCATTAAGGAACAAAGTAGCTTTCAATGTTAAAACTTATCAGGTATCCTATTCTAAATAAATTATCCAAAGACTATGCATATTTAAAAATTTGCTTTTGACCCTATCGTCTATAAAGTGTTTACAATGACAAGCCTTGGCTGTTTGATACACAAAAACTTTGAGGCTCCTGAGGCTTATGTTAACATTACGTTAGCCAACAAAGCAGGTGGAGATAACAGCTGCATAAGAAAGTTGTGCTATAATTTGAGAAACACTTAAAATACCTGTGGCTATAATAAATATAATTACTATTAATAATCATGTGGCTCTTTACACTTGACCAGGAAAGTAATAACTATGTTAACAGAAAAACAAAACAGGAACAACAAGAATAATAACTCTTTTGGTGTGCATGCAACTGAAATGGCACACATGAGATGAAAAATCTGTGACAGAAAGAGAAGGTACTGTCCAGGGGATTCATAAGCCAAGGCTGAATCTCGGGTTTCCTCAGCTTATTCCTCTCTTGTGCACACACAATCCTTCTACCGGGTTCTGCCCCTTCCAAGCAATAGCAAATTCTTCCACACTGTTGTTTGCTGCAATCACATTGAACCATTCTTTCATTGGAATAAATTTTGTTACCTATTTTTGAGGCTTTGCCTTATATCTGCCTTGCTTTACCTAACTTTTAAATCATACCCATTCATTACAGCATTGTAATGTCTACCTCTTTAAGAAAACTTTTCTGCTGTCCTCTGTCCCCTAATAAAACTCTTCCGTTCTTTGGACCTGGAGACATGCTTGTATCTGTCCTGTTGCACATATCACATTTGTCCTGGAATTTAGATGTTTGTTTCCTGTTCCCTATTGCCTTTTTTTTTTTTTTTTTTTGTGATGGAGGGAGTCTCACTCTGTCAACCAGGCTGGAATGCAGTGGTGCGATCTCACTGCAACCTCTGCCTCCCGGGTTCAAGCAATTCTCCTGCCTCAGCCTCCCGAGTAGCTAGGATTACAGGTGCCTGCCACCACGCCCGGCTAATTTGTTGTTGTTGTTGTATTTTTAGTAGAGATGGGGTTTCACTGTGTTGGCCAGGCTGGTCTCAAACTCCTACCTCAAGTGATCTACCCACCATGGCCTCCCAAAGTCCTGGGATTACAGGCATGAGCCACTGTACCTGGCCCCCTATTGGCTTTTAGTCTTTTGAAGAAAAGGTCCCTGCCTCCACTGTCATTGAATCCTATCCAGCCCAGTGCTCCCTACCCCCACAGAGGAGGTGCTCAATAAATGCTGTTGCACTTGATCCCCAACTCCAGGCTGTGCCTCAAATACAGGCTACTCTAGATGCAGAGTGATTATCGTGCCTTTTAAGAAGTAGCATCTGTGCCCAGAATACTCATAAAATAGCCCTTTGCCTATTTCACAAGCTAACCAAAATAAATATTTTTATAGTCTCTCATACTTTTGAGATGTCAAAACCATCAAGCTTAACTCTTCTCTGGATTCTCTTTATAAGTCCTATACCAGCTCACGATGGTAGCATGCTTTAAAGTTTGTAATTTGTATCAGCTCAGACGAGTTCATTTGAGCCACACAGGACTCTTTATGGGATACACAGATTAGGGATTCTCTTCATTTTAAAGATGTTGAAAATAAAATGTAGACAAGTCCTTGTATAAGATCACATGGCTCAGCACATTCAGACCTGCATGGGGCTGCCCAAGGTGGCACACTGAGGTCTGCTTCTCTGATCTAGTGACTCAATGAGGAGTTTTTGTCATGGCAACACCACACTGGTGGGCCATACTGGCAGGCAGGCCTATTGCACCTAGAAAGAGTGTCTAAGAGATGTTTTCCTCATAAACAATGTGATTTTCTTAAATTATCCAAATGAGCTGCATCTCCCACTTACATCACCGAACTGAAAGATCCTATCCTTAGATAATAAACACATGTAAGATCATACCAGCCAATGACTGGCCCCTAGGATCACCTGAGCTCCTTTTCAGATGAAAGAGCTTGGAATCAATTACTTTTTGCTCACTGTACACTTTTTGTCCTGTACTTGATAACTTTGCTGAAGGTAGGGATATGGGCAACCTTTTTCCTAAAATGTGTAAGGTAAATGAGTTCCACTGCAGAGCCATTTGATGGGATTGTTGGTAGCTGCCCGGAAATCTACTGGAAGCTGTATCTGAGCAAGCAGAAAAGAGTATCCTGACAATATCTATGCCACAGATGAGGGACAGGGAGTGTCCCTCCATGGGATGTGGAGATGCTGTGCTGCAGATCCCTCTTCAGGACTGAAGGGCTTATTACTCCAGATGGTGGGACAGCCACTGGAAAGCAGCCTCCCCTGGTCAGCCCTCTCTGGGGAATGCCTTCAGTGAAAATAGCTGGCACATCCAAGATCACATGCCTTTTTCTGGATACTAGACACAGGGTTTAACCCTCTTTCCCCGACTTGGAAAAACACAAAAGTGTCATCCCGGAGCTAGAACATCCATGAAGTAGGCTGAGGCCTTCACTGAGGTTGCATTGCCACACAATTTCTACCTCTGTCCAGTCCTGATTCTTCCCTTTCTCTTCCTCAGGTGTTGATCCCAGGAGCACCCTCTCATAAACTTCCTACTTGCTAATCTCCTTGGGGTTTGCTTCTAGGGAACCCACCTGCAACAAGGAGGAGTGACAGAGGTCCCAGATATTGATGAACTTAATTCATTAATTTATTAATTGAGTTGTTTATGTGTTACTTTATCGGCAAATCCCATTGGCTTTATTCTTCAAATATATCCTTAATAAGACCACTTCCCACTTATCTCTACTGTGACCCATCAGCACCATTGCTAGTACATACTTTTAGCACCAGCATGCAATTTAGCAAAAGACAGATGAATTGTAGAAAAACCCCCACTCTGGGATGCCAATTAGAAAAAGATAGCTTTTCCTTTTGGCTGGCACAACCCCTGGCTTGATGAGAAAAGCCAGATGCCTTTGGGTAGCGAACAACCTGTACCATCATACACCATGGCCCTGCAGTAACCCTTCCTAAGCCACTATGATCTCTTGTCTGAACTGTAACCTCTAGCTGCCCCCCTACCTCCCCTTCGCCCTTGCACAGTATACTACCTACACCAGCCTGCGAGATTCTTCTAAAAGGAAAAGAGACGTGACCTTCCTCTTCTCAAAGTCACCCAGTTCCCACTTATTCAGGTAAATCCTGTTAGTTCCTAAGTGCTCTGGCCTGGCTACCTCTTGCTTCATTTTCTACTACTCTGTCTTGCTCCTATTCACTCTGTTCCAGGCACACTGGCTTCTTGACAGTTCTTCATATTCACCAAGCACCCCCTTTCCTCAGGGATTTTGCCCTTGCTTTCCCCTCTGCCTGGAGCACTTGGAACCTGGAGAGTCGCATGTCTGGCTGCCCCATTCCCTTGGGTCTCTGCTGAGCTGTGACAGAGGTCTTTCTGAACTGCCCCAATCTTCCTTCATACCTATCCTCTTACCCTAATTTTTCATAGGACACGATACCATATATGATTATTTATGTGTTTGTGAATGTCATGTTTCCCCTTACCAGAATATAAGTTTCAGGAGAGTCGGAACTTTGTTTCATTCACTACTATATCCCAGGCCCTACATTATGATTTGAAATACTGTGGGTATCAATAGATTCTCTTGAAAGGAAAAATGACTAAATAAACAAACTTGCTCAAGAACAACATTTGGCATCCACTAAAACTTCTGCAAACATGCAAGGAATAGGAGGGTGGAAAAAACAATGGGAAAATGTTCATTAGGGCTATGCAATGTAAGAATCATGAGCTTTGGTAATTGTTACAAAAATAACAAGTGAAATTGTGAAATAATTTTGGTAGAAACACAGTGTACTCCACTCAATGTCTCAACCCAATGACCAGGCCAGGGATTGGAGTGAAGTACACGTTTTCTATCAAAATGCAACATCATAATTTTACATGGTTTTTCTGCCTTATTCTAACTTTCAGGGGCCTCCATGTATTAAAAAAAAAAAAAAAAAGGACGTGGGGTTTTGACTCCTGCTTGGATGAGACACAGTTTATTCTCTTAGATGAAAATTACATCATTTTTCCAATTAGGATTTTTCAAAGCCACCAGAATAGAAATGTGCTTTAGGCATCTCCTAAAGCAAAGCCATTTAAAATAGACTAAAATACTATTTTAAACTACCCAAATATTTACATATGGATAGATTAGTAGTCATCAAAACTCTTGATTTTCTGGACAGAAAGAGGGATTCTTAAGCTGGAATATATTTTATTTTAATCCGTGACATTTTGTGCAACATAAATAGCAAATCTTATCAATATGGAGAAGTTGAATGTACTAGAATGTTCACCACAAAACACCTTTTCAAAGGCAAAAATGAGTTTTCAATAATAAGGTTCTATTTTACACTTGCCTTCAAGATTTAGAAAACCGATACACATGGTTTTTGGATAAGTAGCTCGTAATCCCTGTTAGTCGTTTCTCTAGTATGTTTCCTGTGTGATTTTGACAGAGGGAGGTTTTACTGATTGATTCTTTCATTATATTTCATATAGACAGATGGAGCTAAGATTAAGTATTTTCCCTAAATATTAATTCACATGAAGCTCTTGAATGTTGATTCCACTCAAGTTACAATGGCTTGGCATATTCTTGATTTTATTTTGCTTTGTTTTGTTTTGTAGCACGAGGTTATATAGACAAACTACTAACCCAGGTTTCTTACTGACTGGCTGCTGGCTGCTCTCTGGACTGATTGTGTTACCTTACACAAGTCATTTGACTCTCTGGGACCTCAGTTTCCTCATTAGACAACTAGAGGGTTCTGCTCAGAGGCCTTTGGAGTACCTTCCAGCATACACATTCTGTAGTTCCTCATTTACATGTGTTATGCAGTAAAATTTTTGCCATTTAGGAAGTTGGAGGCACATGGCATGGATGGAAACAGAAAATTATCTGTAAAAGCTGTTTCCTAAAGATGGATTACAAACACTCACACACACTCACACAGACTCACACACACACCCCTTCTCTTTGTCTCCAAGTGCAAACGCAGTTTCAGAAATTACACAAGAAATTGGTTGTAGTGGTTCCTTACAGACAGTGGGATTGGGATTTGGAGGAAAAGAAGGGAGTTTTAAAATTTTAATTCATATATCCGGTGAAAGAATGGAAAACTGAACATTGTATATTCTCATTCATATGGGGGAGCTAAGCTATAAGGACGCACAGGCATAAGAGTGATACAATGGACTTTGGGGACTCAGGTGGAAAGGGGGTAAGGGATAAAAGACCACAAATGGGGTTCAGTGTACACTGCTCGGGTGATGGGGCACAAAGATCTCATAAATCACCACCAAAGAACCTACTCATGTAACCAAACACCACCTGTTCCCCAATAACCTATGGAAAAAAAATTTTAAAAAAATTCATATGTCCTTATATTGTTTTAAAATTATTATATATATATACATCATTTTTATAAAGAAAAGGTTTTCTTATTGTCAGTAGAGATGTGAGAATCACATTTGATTTATTCTTCATACACTTCTTTTTTTAAAAAAATAAAGAATGCTTATCCCTTTGTAATTCAGCAAAAATCAATAAAGATCTTTTTCAGTAAAATTTTATTTTTTCAGGTGGCTTCCATTTAATCAGTGGTGTGGCACATCTAAAAGAGAACAGGCTTTGGAATGAAGCCCACTTGGGTACAAATGCCAGATGCAATATTTAAAAACATACACTTCAGGCAGCTTATTTGAGCCCCAATTTTCTTATCTGTAAAATGGGAATGATAATAATGATACCTAATTACAGGCTTGTAATCTGTTCAACAGATTATAAATAATTAGAATAAAGTGCCTAGCAAGTGTATGGCACAAAGTAGGTTCCAGTGATAACTCTTAATAATACTATTATCACTTTCTTGTTTTATCTTTTAACATCTAATGGTAAATGAAGAGACATTAAGTTATAAGATAAATTAACATTATTTTCAAAAGATGTCTATCTAAATACTTAGTTCTGAAATAGAGTAGTAAATAACGTTCTTATATTTTTCTTTTATTTACTTATTAAATACATATTTCCCAAGCATCTACTATGCGCCCAGTATTGGATGAGGCACTACAAAGATGAACAAGGACACGCACATCACGAACTATGCTCACTCCATCTCTCATTCAGGCCTCTGCTCAGCACTTTCCTCTTTAGAGAATCTTTTCCTGCCCACCTGAGCCAAAACAGCTACCTTTTGCTGTCATATTTCTCTCCATCTCCACGAACCTTATACCACTTGGCTCATCTTACTGTTGTTTGCCTATTTATTTTTTTTCTTTTGAGACAGAGTCTCACTCTGTTGCCCAGGCTGAAGTGCAGTGGCGTGATCTCGGCTCTGCAGCCTCCACCTCCCAGGTTCAAGTGATTCTCCTGTCTCAGTCTCCCAAGTAGCCGGGACTACAGGTGCCTGCCATCACGCCTGGCTGCTTTTTGTATGTATAGTACAGACGGGGTTCACCATGTTGGCCAGGCTGGTCTCAAACTCCTGACCTCAGGTGATCCACCCACCTCAGCCTCCCAAAATGCTAGAATTACGCCTAGTCATTTATTTTAAGTTCCCCTCACCATAACCGATGCTCCATGTGAGACAGATGTTATTATTTTGCTCTCTGTTGAGTTCCCATCACCTGGCATCTGAAGATGCTCAGTAGATACTTGTTGAATGAATAAAAAAATCCGTTTTTGCTGAAAACTGCTAAGTTTTTGTAGATTGTGCCTGTTTATATAGAGTACACCTAGGCAGTAGAAGAATTTATTCTGATGGAAATAGCTCCTTCTCTTCAACAGCCAGACCCAGAGCTCCAACCCTGGTGATCCAGTTAAGAAGGCCACATTTACAGGAAAGAAGAAAAACTGTTGTGCCCAGTTCCTGGCTGTTACACCACTGAGGGCTTTTCTTGTCTCTAACTTGCAGAAGTGCAAGTCCATTTCACTTACAGATTCCCTCATCTGGCTAAGTAGTGTCCCAAATACAAACAATGAAAACAGCATGGAAAAATGGGTTTAAATGGAAGCAAATTAGACCTGCTGATCTGATCTTTTTGTTTGGTATAAAGCTTTTTGTTAGCTATAAATTATGGTGGTGACTTAGATATAGATTTAGTATGCTCAAACCTAAAAAACTTTCTTTTTCCTATAGCTCATCTCTTACGATCCTTCAATTAATAACTCAAAAATATTTACTGAGCTCCTATTGCCCTGGTAGAGGGCTGGGAATGGTAGAGGAGACATAGATAAATATATAAAGAGATAGTGTGTGTGTGTGTGTGTGTATACATCTCATATGTATATATCAGTGTATCCAAGTGTATCCTTCCAAAACAACTACTCTGATTTTTTGAAATTAAAAAAAATCAGAAAAGAGGAAAAATGACAAAATGAAACAGCAAGCATAGAAATTTCAAAATCTTAGACAACCAATGGCAGTTTTTAATTTAAACTTCTGTTAAGAAAACTCTCCCTATTGGGTAGACTGCTGCTCAGGCTGGTAGGGAAGCTGGACTCTGGCCATTCTTCAAGGCTTGGGTGTGACCATTACAGCTGAATCCCATTACAGCTGAATCCCATTACAGCTGAATCAACATCTTCATGGTCAGATGGACAACAGGAAAGGCCAAGGGTTTTAGTCCACCTGATTCATCCATGAGTTCTGAATGGCAGCATTTCACTGGATACTTAATCACATGTTTAGCTCACGAGAGCCAAACACCAATTCTACAACCTATACATTCAACAAGTTTTCAGTGCTTTTTACAGGACTGGGACTAGGGTGAGCCAACTGCAGGATCAGAAGCCATCTCTGTTTTCATTTAAAATTTTGTCATTTTGCTCATCATGGAATTTTTGCATTAATTTTGAGTTTTTAAATAGTGTATTAAAATATTATTTATCTTGATCATTTGATTTTTGGCACCATCTTAAATTTTGCACCCAAGGAGAATGCCTCATTTTCCTCACCTTAGTCCAGTTCCTGGTTTGTTATGTGCAGAGCATTTCACTAAGACCCTACAGGGGATGAAGAGAAGGAAGAGATATGGATGCCAACCTCTAGAGCCTAATAGGAGGGGAAAGATATGTTCTGAAAGAATACCAATACAGTGAAAGAGTGATAAGTACTTTAAGAGGGATCTGAAAATAATGACAGTGCTTTGGGAGGCAGGATAGACACCATGACAAGACTTCCTGCCCCAGCCCTGCCACTTCTAGCTGTGTGATGTCAGGCAGACACCATTTAACCAACAGAAACTTCTGCTTCCTCATTTGTGAACTAGAAGGGATGTCACTCACCTCAGAGGGTGGTTGTGTGAACCAAGGTAAAGTGTGCAAAAATTGTAGGGGCCCATGATAAATGGCAGTGATTGGTAGCTGTGGTTCTATTTAAGTGGGCCTGGAGAACACAGATGTAAACTCTTGGTTGTAATACTGGCTATCCCACACCTCCATAGAGAGGCAGGTATAGAAATGCAACACACTGTGCATTTGCATAAGGATGCATGAAAATTAGGGCCAGCCACTCACATCCATTCATTGGCTTTCTTTTTCCCAACTGCTTTGGGAGCTCCACACTGAGTTCTGTGTTATTTGGGATCCTAAAAGAAAAATCCATGATGATGAGAGAGAGTGTTTTCCATGTTACCTGAAGTTTGAGTACCATGATGGGTTCCAGGTATCAGTGGCTTCTCTTAGGGGAAGGGAAGAGAATTAAGACAATTGTTTAAACAATTCATTCAACCAATTCAACATCTGGGACTGGGAAGACCTAGCCACAGATTAGTTAAGGATTTCTCTCTGTCTCTCTCTCTTTCTCTCTCTCTCTGACACAGACAGACAGACAGACACACACACACACCTTCTTACTCATGACTGGGCAGTGTCTTGGAATTTAGTATCTGCATGTTATATATCTTTTCTTTGCTGCAGGAATTGCTTTCTAGATTTGTCAAAAGAAGAAAATGCTATCCTGTTTCTGGGAAATAAATCTGTTTTCCCAGTGGAACACTCATTCGAACCAGCAGACAAGGACAGTTGGGGGTGCCATAACAGCAGGATGAAAGCATAACTGAAAAATTCATTTTTTCTATTCACTGCTTCTGCCTAGATACATCCCTGAGGGAAGCACATCACTTAGGCAGGAAGTCTCCATGATGCTCGAGCTCATCTGTTATTTCTTTTTATTTAAAAAAGCCTGACAAGGTGTCAGCCTTCATAGATTGCTAAGGCTGAATTGCCACAGGGACTAAGATTCATTCATCCATTTGTCAAACATATTCTGAGTGTCTCTCCAGTGCCAAACACTGTGTTGGGCACAGGAGAATCTGGTGACACAAGTGAGAGGGATTCTTTGCTTCGAGTTTAACAGGGTTGATAGACAATAAACACAAAGCTTAGAGTTCAGCAGGGTTGATAGACAATGAACAAATAATTAAATCCACAAGAAAAATATCAGAGAGCCAATGTCCTAGTGAAAGAATTACAATCAGGTGACTGTGAGGAAGGTTGAACTTAAGGTCGATCTTAGCTCAGGAGAGAAGCTAACATTTCAACCAAGGCTTGAATGAAGAGACACAGAATGTTGTGTGAAGGTCTGAAGGAAGAGGGTTCCAGACATGCATAGGAAATGACACTAGTGCACACCCTTACCTATTTAATTCATCAGTGAATCAAGTGTACTGAGCCTCCAGTCAAGGGAGCTCATGAATTGGGTATTTGGGTGTGGCAGTGTAGGCTTCACAAGAACATAGCCTTTGATCTCAGCCCCTTAGCCTCTAATAGATCCTAACATAGCCATCAGCCATTACACTGTCTCTGGAAAAAACGATGAAGAAATCTATTTTCAAGGATTGAGGCCAAAAAGAACTGAATGTTGTAGCAGAAGCTTTCTCTCTACCTGTACTTTATTGAAACTGTCTTTGAACTGTGGAACATGGCGTTGGTTTTGTGATAATGGCACTAGATTACCTGAATGAATGAGGAAAGAACTTGTTCTAGGCTTGGGAAAGCAAGTCATAAAGAACCAAGAGCCAGCGGGAGGAGGAAAGAGGGGAGGGGGTCATGAAAGAAGAGCTTAACACGAAGGATAATAGAACACAGGTCATTATTCTCCTGTGGCTTCCTAATGCACATGTTCATGTCCCATAGCATGAACTTTGGAAATGTTAAAACAAACTATCTAAACCCTAGTTTCTTCATTTGTAAGGGGTACCTTCGTCACTGGGTTGTAAGAATTAAATGAGAGACGCATGCTCGTATGCCATGGGTCAAGAGACATTGCCCACTACAGGATGGAAAGACAGAAGACTGATCTCACTCCTCTGCCTTTATCCCACGGTTGAAGGATTTTCCCTCTTCTCAGGCTTCTGTGGTGTTTCCTGCTTCACCTCGCTACCCGTTTGAGTTCATATGCCTTTTTGCAAAACCCAAGCAGGCAAATATTACATTTTCATTTTTCTTTGTATAAGGATACTTCACTCATTTTCAAAACAAGTCCATCAAGATGATCAAGAAACATAGTTCTACTGGAATTTGTCCAGAGAATGTAGGTCAGTCGTGGGGATCCTCTGAGTGTGAGACTCTCACAGGAGTTCTCAAGTTAATCTCATTTGGAACTTGGAACCAGGCAGAAAATTCTTGTTGTTCCAGGGCACTGTGCCATTTCTAAAGAAAATGATGGATTTCAAATTTTCCCAAGTTAGAACTCATTTCCTCAAATACGAATTCAATTCTCCCTGTGTATGGGAGAACCTAGAAGAACTAATGTTTCTACATGCTTCTCTTAGTCACTCACATCAGAACTCAAGTAGAAAAGTTTCTTGCCTCAAAGTGCAGCAGAAAATAAATGAACGTTGCAATTGCTGTATCCCTCACAGAAGGCAGGCAGGAGCCAGGAAATCTGTTACAAAATATAGCCCTGCTGCCTAGGATCTTGAAGACCTGCAGGCTTCTGTCTGCCTCACCTGTCTCAACCGTAAAATGGGGATAAAAAATGACCCACCCTCACCAGGCCCTTGGGAGGGTTAAACTAATTAATAATAAAAAACACGGAGAACAATATATACCCAAAAGAAACCACTCCATATGGGTTATCTATTTTTATAACTATTATTATTTCTATCACAAGGACCCTTTGAGACCCCATGTCAAGAGAGGATGTAAACAGAGAGGTGACAAAGCAGAATGGTTATGTTCTTAGTCTTCGGAGATAAACCTAGGTTAAAATCCAGGCTCCACCAATAACTTGCTCTATGATTTTGGGAATGTTAAAAAAATTCTAAATCCCAATTTCTTCATCTGTAAAGAACATTTTCTTCATAGGGGGATTATAAGAATTAAATAAGATGATGCATGTCCTGCACTCAGCACAGTGTTTGGTGATAATTGCTCAATAATTGTTCAATAAAATAATTGTCATTATTCATATTCCTATTGAATCTTCAAGTTCAATGCCAACATGCCCACTCAGTGCTCTACAAATGCTTGCAAATGTCACTTTGGTCTTTGAGCTTATTTTTAGCAACTCAAATGAAATCTAAGGATAAAAATTTTTAAACGATTATCAAGGTATCTACTTTCAAATACTGAAATAAAACATTCCAGGCATCACCCTTAGCTCCCAGCTGAGGGCACCTGGATGGCAAGTCCTTCTGCAGCACACCTGGTGGTTTGTGATGGAAACTTAAAGGAGAATGAAATGAAATCTCAGATGGTCTCTCTCCAGGCTTTTTCCTTTGTCAACGTCTCCAAGGAAAAGTCTTTAAATCACTTGAGTCTAAAATCCGGTGCCTTTTGTGCATGACTATGATTCACTGCACATTAGGATGGAAATAATGGCAAATATTATCTATTTCTCCAAGACCAATTAATTTTCTAAGAATTCTTAGACTACTAGGCTAATATTGTGCTCAGCAAGAGATCGCTCATAAATGTGTCCAAACTTATTTTATGACAGGAATATGCTCCCCAAAGTACGAATGACTTCCTAATAACCATCTTGACAAATTAAAGGGGTTAATTAAAAATATAAACCATTTTGCACCCTTTTCATCTTCTAGCAGTTTTTATTGTGAGTAGCTGAGTTTGTGGAGAGACAAGAAGCTTGAGGAATATTCTGAGGCAACTGAGCTGTCTGCTTTAAGCTGTTACACACATAGGTCACCCTCATCCTCTCTCAAAAGCTGCATAATAGCGTACTTGATAGGCAAGAGGGCCACTTGGATCAAACTTGATCATGACAGAAATTAAGACATCATTGGTAATTATTGATATGTTCTTTAATAGGGGATGGTGTAAAAACCTGGGATTGATTTCTAACAGTTAGCAGAATTTTCTTTTGAATTCAATACTCTTTAAAGCAACAGTCCCCAAACTTTTTGGCACCAGGGACTGGTTTGTGGGAGACAATTTTCCCACAAACCAGGGGGTGGGAAGATGCTTTCAGGATGATTCAACCACATTACATTTATTGTGCACTTTATTTCTACTATTATTCATTGCAATACATAATGTAATGATTATACAATTCACCATAATGTAGAATCAGTGGGTGCCCTGAGCTTGTTTTTCTGCAACTAGAAAGTTGCATCTAGGGGCGATGGGAGGCAGTGACAGATCATCAGGCATTAGATTCTCATAAGGAGCACGCAACCTAGATCCTTTACATGTGCAAATTACGTAGGGTTCCCATTCCTATGAGAATCTAATGCCGCTGCTGATCTGGTAGGAGGTGGAGCTCAGGAGGTAATGCAAGTGATGGGGAGTGGCTGTAAATACAGATGAAGCCTCGCTTGCCTGCCTGCTGCTCAATCCTGCTGTGTGGCTGGGCTTCTAGTAGACCGGTACCGATCTGTGGCCTGGGGGTTGGGACCCCTGCTTTAAAGCAAGTACTATAAGTCCTAGTCCACAAGCCCAAGAGAAAATGAATCACGCCGCGTGCCAATACAATGCATCTTCAGATGTGTTATCCCCAACATCACTTATCTTGTATTATACAATATTCAGTACAGAACCATGTATAAGTAGTTTAAATATTTTATATTGACAACATAAGTTGACAACAAAGATACTAAAGTTTAACTCACATTTTCCTCACCAGAATTTATGAAAAAGAAAAAAGATTTTTAGAAACAACAGTGGGATTTCAGATGGCTGTTGCCAATTTTCAGGATTTGTAATGGAAAACCAGAGTTTCTTTCCATAAAGCTTATACTTTAAAGTTGGCTAATATAGGATCAAAACATACTTCACGAGAAAATTCTCCAACAGTCTACCCTATTATTCACTTTTAATAAAGTCAAAGAAATAGAAGAAATCTGTAGACACTTAGAAAACTTCCTGAGTTGTAGTTTTGGATAGATTGTTTTGGTCATAAAATATTGGTAAACGAAGGAGTCAGCTCCTCACTGAAGCAAAAGCATATTAAAGTCATCCTCTTTATAAGCATAGCCCCAAATAACACTTCAGCTCTCCTTGGCAGTGAGGCAAAAGTTTTTCAAATAAGGAATGGAAATTTCTCTAAGCATCTAGCAAAGTTATATATCACAGGACTGTATAGAAACATTGCCATTCTATTAAGAGTAATAGAATGAAGAAGTACCAAAATTCTTATCTAGAAGGGCAACCAGCTTGCAAAAGCACATTTATTTGTGTACTCTTTTAATTCTTTCACAGTAGGAATAGATGAACTTGAAGTTTAGGAATACTCCTTAAGACTGCCAAAGTATTTTAGGTCAAGCTATAAAATTTCCCTGAAGTTCTCTTCCAAGATTATGCTGAGGATTGAGAAGAGAATCCTTCAAATGGTTCCAAGAGCAAACTCTAATCTGTTATGGAAAAGAAATTAGTAAAAACTACATTTCTCTGTCTCTACTTGATGCCTTCCAAAGGCTCACCACTGCCCGGGAGACACACTAGTTGTAGGTGGGGCCTAGAACTCAGGGAAGGAGTTGTAATGTTGGGACATCATCAACACTGATGATGGAGGCAGAGGTTCCCCACCTTCTGCAGAGAAGCGTACAACTTGCAAGTCTGACTTCCTTGGTGTTGACCTCTGGAATAACAAAAGCATCATCCAACTCCAAGTGAATTAGGACCACTTGAAGTTCAAGCCAGGTGAGCTTGGCTTGACATCCCCACTCTCCCACTCTCCAACTGAGTTGCTTTGGGCACGTTATCCTAATCTCTCTGTGTCTCACAGTTTCTCATCTGTAAAATACTGATAATAACCACCTTCAAGATTGTTGTGAAAGTTAAAGATGATGAAAGTAAATGTGCTTGTCAGGCACTATTAAATGCTACCTATAGATCACAGACCTGGGCTGCATAGGAAGCTATTGCATAACTATCTCATTAAGTTTCACTGTGTACTTCTCACTCGGAACTACTTCTATAACAGAAATAGAATATATTATACAGTAACATTCCCATAGACCTAAAACATTCTCCTGCAGCTTATAAAAGACTTGTTTTTGTGTTGTTTTGTTTTTTTAAAGAGACAGGGTCTCGCTAAGTCTCCAGGAGTGGTCTTGAACTCCTGGCCTTAAGGTGATAGTCGCCCACCTCAGCCTCCCAAAATGCTGGGATTACAGGGATGAGCTACTATGCCTGGCCTTGTTTTTGTTTTTCAATGAGTAAGTTCCAGGGCACATCATAATTACCACAGATTCAGCCCAAGCTCCCACCTCCCCTGTATTTACAGTAGAAATAAAATTTCACACATTTGAAGTCGACACTCCAGTGCCCACAAGCCACTCAGTGGAGGGTACTTGGAATTATACGGGTACAAAGGAATTCCCAGGCTCTTAGGGTTTCTGAATCATCAAAGTGGAACTTGGATCTAATCCAGAGCTAGCAAGGAAGCCCCCCTCTTTTCAATCTTCTTTCTTTGCTGGTCCCTTCCCCTTACTATAGAAACAAGCTCAAGTCCCCCCTTCCTAAAACAAAACAAAACGAAAAAAAAAATAAAACTTTCATCTCAAAGTTTCTTTGTAGGTATGGTTGAACCCCTTTCTTCTCACATCTAAACTTTTTTTGCTGAGAAGTCTTTACCAACTATTGACATTTCCCATTTGTTCCACCCTACTGCATGGGGCCCCACTGATCACGTCCTCCTTTTGAAAATCCTAACTCCTTTGCTTCTACAATCTTCCACTTTCCTAATTCTTCTCATACATGCCCGGTTCTTCCTGTTTCTTTCATGTCCCCATCTCCTTCCTATACCTAATCCTTAAATGTGAGCTCAAGGCATCTTTTCTTAGCCTCCTGCTGTTATTACTTTATCCATTCTCCTTGGGTGATATCATCTCTGCTCGTAATTTTAACTACTACCTTTCTGCTAAAGGTTCCCATACTCCTGCCCAGACTATACCTGATCTTTAGATTCTTACATCAATGCCCTGCTCGAAGTCTCCACTTGGATGTGTCCCAGGCAGCTCAGAACTGATCATATCTTTTTCTACCCTAAGCATGAAGTTCCTCTTGGAACTCTCCCAACTGTTGGCACCATCAACCAAACAGCTGCCCAAACTAGAAATTTCAGAGTCACTCTTCCTCTGACTCATTACTCCTATCAATCAGTACTCAAGCCCTACCAACTTAATCCCCTTTAAGTTGCTTTATTTACTGCTTGCCTTTCACACCTAACACCCCTGCCCTAATTCAGGCCCTCATAATCTCTTCCTTAGATACATGGGTAGCCTCCTAATTAGCCTCCCCATTGGCAATTCTATCTCCCTCAAATTGAGCCTCCTCACAGCTCCTGAATGAACAGGCAGGTCCAGCAGTGAAGTAACAAATGTCCAGTGATAAAGTCACACAAATGCCTCTTCCAGAAGTATCTTGCCTACACCTTGCATCTCTGTATTACTCTTGCCCAAATATTGCTCTCTATACTTCCTGTTGATTCTGAGAGCTAACTGACAACCTTCCAATACCTCCTTCACTGCTTGATCAAATGAAAAGCCTTGACTAGCACACAATTCCTTTTACCTTCTACCACAATTGTGGGTTTTTGTGTCCTCTATTGGCCTAGGGCCGCCACCAAGGGCAGGGACCATGACTGTGAACCCTATGGAGTGTGTACTCATGTACTATGTCCTCCAACTACTAACATAGAACATGATGGATAGTAGACACTTAGATGCTTGTTCACAGTATGAATAGTCTGCAGTAGGGTTTTCTGTAAAACATATTATTTATTCATGATGCAATGAAATTATGGTAATGATACCACTTGTTTTATTATCTTATTCTTAGCCTCAGAATCCCATAAAACACATGCAAATTTCTCACAAAGTAGAGAAAGCAAATATCCTGGAAGATCTGACTTGCAAACCTGATCCTCTGCTTTCTCCATTTGTCATAACCATATATAAGAACTTCTTCCCAGAGCAGACAAATATCCTTATGTGCTTTTAACCATCAAGGTGGGTGCTATGGACATCTCACACCTGAGTACCTCAGAAACACCCGCTCTCCATAGCTAGTTCAAAGTCTGGTCATCCCTTGCCAAAAAATACTTTCCAGCCCCAGCAGTGCCACTCTCAAGGTTGCATTGTGGTTGTTTGTGATGGCAGAGAGTCAAGGGACTTAGGCATCCCTGATGGGTAAATAATCCAAGAGCTTTTTGTCCATTGGCAAATTAGGGATGAAACAGGCCATGTACTGGTGAGACAAGCTGTAATACTGCTTTGCTGTTATATTTGGAAATTACAGCATAAGCCTTCAAACTCTTTGAAGTCCCATGGTAGGAAGGATTACTAAACACAACCTCTTTTACTACAGGAAAAAAATGTTAAGGATTTTTTATTTTTTTTCCATCAATCTCAACAATGGCTTTACAGATTGGTTAAATTCAAAGTGTTTGTTGATGCCACATATTATCAGGCATTGTAAGGAGGATGTGATTCCTGTTCTCAGAGACATAACAGTCTGATGAGGTGACAGGGTGGGGACTCTTATCAGGAGATGCCAATAAGAAGACTTACACAGTGGAAAGTGCAGAGAGCCATGGGAAGGGAGGGTTTTCATCTGGAAAAGTTATGGAATGTTTTAAGAAAAAGCTGGACCTTAAAGCATAGGTGGAACCTAAATAGATGAGCATGGGACAGGAGAATAGAAAAGCAGCATTATACAGGTAAAGAGAACTTTGCAAATAAAACAAGAAGCAAGTAAGTAAAGGGCATGTTGAATGAACAGCACATTAGAGATTAATGGGAAGGAAGAGGAGAAATGTAATTTGGAGCAAACTGTGAAGGGCCTTGAATGCCAAACAAGGCATTTTGCACATTAGCCTGTGGGTAATTGCTAATCATCAAAAGATACTTAAGACGAGGGCATTTCTTCTTTCTTACATCTGGAGAAGCTGGGGAGTTGAAAGCCATTCCAATACACATTCCTCAACCATGGACACATATCACAATCACCTAGGGAGTCTGTTAGTGTGTGTTGTTTTTTAATGATGCCAAGTCTGGTCCCATTTCTGGACAAATAAATCAGAACCTCTTGGAGTAAGACCTGGATATAGCTTTAAAAAAATTTTTTTTTACCTGTTTTAATTTCCAGCCAGGGCTGAGAACCATTCTGTAGGTGAAACTATATCTATCTATCTGTCTGTCTATCTATCTATCTATCTATCTATCTATCTATCTATCTCTATCTATCTAGATAGGTAAATAGATATAAATAGATGGATATGTAATCAAACACTCCAAGAACCTAGACCTGAATGCATAACTACATTTATATGATTTAGTTGGTTAAGAAAAGCATAAGAAAAATTGAAGGAGAGTGCTGGGATAGTTGTTAGACACAAAAATCAGGGTTGACCAACAAGGATACCCAAGACAAGTTTAACTACCTGCTAGCTCTACTTATTGGGATACCCATCACCTCTACTAACATAAATGGATTTCACTCAACTTCTTCAAAACCTAATAGTTTGAAAAGATATAGAAGTAAGACTGATGCTGGGGTGATCTACCAAAGAGGTTCTGTTATTTTAAGAACCAAAATATTTAAATGAATATTACACCCCAAGATACAAGTTACCAAAACATGGTAACTATAGGCTAAAAGATTTGAAGATGGCAACAAAAGCATAAAGTCCTCTGACAAAAATTATTTTTTTCCTCCCCACATATTAGCTGACTTCTGCAATTATGGTATGGGAAACATCCTAAAAATCCCTAGGTGTCTTATTAGGGATCAGGCCAGGATTTGGGTAGCCACTTCCCATTCAGCAACTCTAATTTGAGTAGGGAGGAAACCAGATGGGGTGTTGGCCTTCATAAGGAGGAGGCTGCCCAGACACAGCTTACATCCACAGAAGCCAGTAGAGGCTTAGCAGGCAGATATTACCACCCCAGTTGGGTTAAATCTCAAGTGGAGGGGTCAGGCAAGAGAACTCAAGCACCCAGACTGATTGACAGGAAGGCCAAGGGTTAGGATCTTGTCCAAGAACTTAGGAGATGAGAGATCATAGAAGGCACCAGCACCATCACTAATGGAGCCAATTGATGCTGAGGCACTAGCAGGCTGGGGTGGGAGAATAATGAAGCAGAAAGCAAAGCATTCTTGACAACAACCAATAATTTATAGAGAAAAATGTATCATCTGCTGGGATAGACTACACACTAAGTATGAAACTCAGTGTTATTACTTTATATCCACACCTTGTTCAGCCACACAAAAGTGAGATAAGGCTTACCAGTGCTTAAACTAGAGCCAAATAAGAAAAGTAAGGTTCTTTCTCTGGTTGGAATGAAGAGTAGATGGCATAACTATAAGCAAAAGAAAACCACACTCTCCTTAGGTCCCCAAAAGCTGTTTTGGAAAGCTGTCTGAGTTAGAAAAACTAATGTTTATTTATAAAGTTTATGATGTTGATAAAAGACACATCAAGTAATAGTAAGAATAACATCAGGTTACATGTATAAAGTGCTCACTCTGTGTTAAACGTATTAATGTATATAGTCTTCACAACAATCTCATGTGATAGGTACTTTTACTATCTCAATTTTATAGCCAAGGAAACTGAGACATAGAGAGGATAAATGACTTTCCCAAGCCCACACAGCTTGAAAGAGCAGAGCCTGGATTCTAATCCAAGTCACCCAGCTCCAGAGCTTATACTAACCACGAGGCTTAAGCCGTTCTTCATGATAAGGAACTACCTTTGAAGGGGCAGAATGAACCAGGAGCACGTAGGAAAACACTTAAGGATATGTTTGTGATCTAATACAGTCATTCAACAGGTTCTTTCATTCAACAAATATATATCGAGCACCTGCTATGTGCCAGGCTCTTTTCTACACGCTGAAGATCACAGACGGGTGGGATCCCTATACATCTGAAAGAGTGAATACATGTTACATGGTATGGCATAAAATGTAGTGTTTTGTGGCTTTGTTTGGCCCCAAACACTGCATCTTTGGAATCTGAGTTCTTCCACATGTCTGAAATATAATTAGCTCTCTGATGAAGAGTTTCCAACACAACAAAGTTTCAGAGTTTAGAACCCAGAGTGGAGACAGGGATGTTTCCTCCAATGCTGGAGGAAAAAGAACTGGTGGAGAGCCAAGGAGCTGAGGCAATGTCCAAGGGCTGCCTGACTTGGTCTGTGTAGGAGGAGGCAGCACTGGATGACCTCCAAGGCCCAGCTCTAGGATCTGGGTTCCCAGGAAGCAAGGCAGAAGCAAGGCTGCCCTCAGGCACAGCACAGCACAGCCATGCTCAACCTGAGAGCAGTCACAGCCAGGGCAGCAGCGGGAAATGGCATGTGATACTGCAAGTGTAACTAGGTCACATTTCTGGGGTCGACCATCTCTCCCAGAGGGTGTCAAGGAACATCCCTGACTTGTGCCGATTTCCAGCCCCCATACAATGTGGGGATTGTACTTCTGCTTAGAGAGCTCTAAGAACAACCTGCAGACATAATGCAGGACCAAGTAGCCCCATGCAGATGAGCATAACTCGTCCCTGGCCTTATGAACTTTGTGATGCCAGGGTGGGATGCTGAATCAGCCCTCCAAAATCAGGAAAGGAGCTGTAGTCTGCAGGAAGAAGACTGGTTCTCCTCTCCCAGGAACCTGGGATCCTTGCCAGATTTGTGGCTCTAGCTGAGCCTCAAGAAATAGCAGGCAGGATTCATCACTGTTAATAATAACTGGCACATGACTGAGTGCAGAACTGAAACGCAGATGGCCAAGGAGCTGAGAGTGTCCTTAAAAGAGAAGGGACAAGTTTGGGTGAAGGAAAGGGTATCAGAGAGACAAACACACATGTATTTACACGTGATTTCGGGACATTCTACCATGCCCCCACCCCACCCCTTCATGATGCCCAACCCTGTAGCCCACCTGCCTGCCTCAGATGCTATCACTCACTCCTGGGTACAAAAGCCATCCAACCTTTTTCTGTATTAGGCGATTTCTCAAACCCTGACTCCTACCATGGAAAAACAATGTAGGTCTTCTCTGCAACAAGTGCTTTCAATTTCTCTTTTTACTTCCTGTTCACCTGAGACATTTCTGCAGCTGCCTTCCTCTTCCAGGTAGCTGAGTGTTCCAAACTCCTAATTAAGGGGCAACACCTAGACTTGGCTTTACCCTGCCTCAGCTCCTCAAGTGGCTTCCTCACAGAGTTCAGTTAAAGGTGCTAAGCCACAATGTCCAAAAATGAGAATGAAGCCAATATCCACTCAATGATTCTTTTGAATTGTGCCTGTTTGGATGCAAGGCCAACCGCATGGTCTCCAAGAATCCTCAGGGCAAAGGACCTCTGCCCCCACAGCTGGCATCAGGAAAATGGAATAAGCAGCCCCGATTTCAGCTGAGGACTGCTGCTCAAAGGGGTTTCCAGATCCTCTGAGCTGTGAATAAAGATGATTTTTTTTATAGGATAAATGAATGGAGAAAGATTTTCACAGGATAAAACAGAACCCTGGCTGGGCGCGGTGGCTCATGCCTGTAATCCCAGTACTTTGGGAGGTCGAAGCGGGTGGATCACTCAAGGTCAGGAGTTCAAGACCAGCCTGGCCAACATGGTGAAATCCCATCTCTACTAAAAATACAAAAATTAGCCTGGGGTGGTAGCACATGCCTCCTGAGTAGATGGTACTACAGGTGCATGCCCCAGTTACTCCAGAGGCTGAGGCAGGAGAATCACTTGAACCCGAGAGGCGAAGTTTGCAGTGACCCGAGGTCACGCCATTGGACTCCAGCCTGGGCAACAGAGTGAGACTCCTTCTGAAAGAGACAAAACAAAAAACAAAAACAGATCCCTTCTTTGCCGGATTCAATTCAAACTTAAGATTTAGAAGTGAGTTCAAATTTGAGTCTGACATAGTATCACTTCCCTTGACAAGTTAGGGAAAATTAAAATATTCTACAAAAAGAATAGAGGGAGATCAAGAAAGCAGGACAACCATGGGCAAAATGAGAAAGTAGACAAAACTGGGTTTCAGTGCCCGATGCCCTGTATGGTGCACCTGGCATTCCCTGGGGGAAACTGCCATTGGGATAAATAACCCAAGCCAACACAATGCCTGGTCAAAACTTACCTATTCTGTGTCCAGTGGAGATAAAGCATATTTTAAAGTGGCCATGAAATAGAGACACTCGAACTGTAATCAGGGACATCTAGGGACTTAATACTGTAAATCAAAGGCATGAACCTCAGAAACTATTTCAGGCAGCAAAGGGGATATTTAGAGACAAGGAGACTTTTCCAACTACCTCCAGATTTGATTCTCCTGTGATGAAACCCCAGTTCGCAGATTTGTGTCCCAACTTACCTTCCTTCTCTGGCCTTTTGCATTGTTCTCTCCACAATAAATTAACCTACGGACCATGGACATATAAGAAGTGCATCTGGCACATATGTTTATTGCAGCACTATTTACAATAGCAAAGACATGGAACCAACCCAAATGCCCATCAGTGATAGACTGGATAAAGAAAATGTAGCACATATACAGCATGGAATACTATGCAGCAATACCAAAGAGTGAGTTTATGTCCTTTGCAGGGACATGGATGAAGCTGGAAGCCATCATTCTCAGCAAACTAACACAGGAACAGAAAACCAAACACCTCATGTTCTCACTCATAAGTGGGAGTTGAACAATGAGAACACACGGACACAAGGAGGGGAACTTCACACACCGGGGCCTGTTGGGGGTGGGGCGCAAGGGGAGGGAGAGTATTAGGACAAATACCTAAAGCATGCGGGGCTTAAAACCTAGATGACGGGATGATAGGTGCAGCAAACCACCATTCACATTTATACCTGTGTAACAAACCTGCACATTCTGCACATGTATCCCAGAACTTAAAGAAAAAAAAAAAAAGAAGTGCATGTGGGCAAAAGTCTCTGAAACCCACTACTTTCCATGGTGGATCCAGTACATGAAGGTGAATGGAACCATGGAACCAGTTTCAAAGGGTTTCTGCAGGAAGAAGTGCATTTGCAGAGAAGCTTGTGAACAGCTTGCCAAATTTCAGCCTGGAAGAATTTTATTATCTTTAATTTACCAACCTAGAAATGGGCTTATAAGGGAAATTCTTAGCGATGTCTTCTTAGGCAACCACAGCAACTGCCACACACCTACCTCACTGCCCTGGAGCCTGCAGTACACTGTTACGTCCAAGTTCTGGCCTTTGACAAACTGAAGCTGGAACAACTGGAGCCTAACCTGCCTGCTCCACCCTGGAGTGCTCAGAGGAGAATGAATTAACTTCCGCCAGCCAACCCAGTAGTCCCAGTCCTGAGCCAGAAAGCAGTGGTTGTTAGAAAGAATGCAGAAAGCAAAGCCACAGTGCCTTCGTTATACTATTAAACTGTAATCACCTTTTTCTATAAGCATCTTCCTGTTTTCCCTGAAGGGGGATGGTTTAACTGCTGTCCTGGGGCAGAGGTGCCAACTCAGCAGAGAGACTTCCTGTGGGTCTGGGAGGCAGTTGTGTTCAGCAGGCTGTGGCATGCCCACTGACCAGAGGCAGGCTGTGAGGGGGCCCCCATCCTGACAGAGGGCCGGAGGCAGGAACTCAGAGACTAACTAAGGCTCCTGGCTTAAGGAATGATGTTGATTTCCTTTTCTCAGGGCCAGCACTAGGATGAGGCAAGCCAAGTGCTTAGGGAACAAGACTTAAGTAGCTGTTCACTCTCGGGTCCTGCAAGTAGCTCCTTCACCCTAGTGCCAGACCTACTCAGAGCCAACAACAGCACAGGTTGTGTGTGTGTGTACACAGACTGTGGAAGTCGGCAGTTCTCAAAGTGTAGTCCCGAGACCAGCATCATCAGCATCACCTGGGAACTTGTTAGAAATTCTCAGGCCCCCTGAATCAGACACTCAGGAAGTGGGGCCCAGCAATCTGTGTCTTACAAGCCCACCAGGTGATTCTGATGCAGCTGAGGTTTGAGAAGCCCCGTGCTGGAGGAGTGTGCTCTCCAAAGCCAGTCTCGTGGCATTTCTAAGGCCATCTCCCGCAATGCTTCCATACAGCCAGTATAGGGAAAGGGTGAGTGGCAAGATTACAGAGACTTTCCTAAAGCCATCAGCAAGATAGGAATCCCTCGAATAATAAATCAAGAATTGCTTTTTCCCAGCCACCCCTAAGTAGACTGTAGTAGTCAAGACTTGGCAATTGTTGGATAAAGATGGAGATTACTACTGAACCAGTTCCTTCCTGTTTCTTCCTAACTAGACACTCAGAGTTAGCCACTCAGTGACACTGTGATATGGACTAGCCATTTGAATATTCTATGGCTGAGATTCCTTCCTCTGTAAAACGGGTCCAACATCACCTACCTGTGAGGGTCAGAGAAGCTAATGTATGCAGAACCCTGAGTAGAAGCCTGGGGCAGAGTGAGCTGTGGTGACAGTTCATACATCTAACCAGGGGTTCCGGGCTCCATCCTCCCCCAGGGAGCGAGGTGGGAGGATCTGCGGCCTGAGGACAATTGAGTGGGGAAGGAGGTGAGCTGGTTTCATCTAGGGTACCATGTTTTTTAAAGAAGGCTATTTTCCAATCCAAATAGTCTGTGGGCATCAGGCTTCACTGGTGGTGACAAAAGAGAGAGAAAGGAAAGAAGGGACACCCAGTGCCGCCTGCCATTGGGTACTGAGAACCACACTTTAAAACAAAAAACAAAAAAAACTATATAAAGGCAAGATGACACTTCAGAAGACCCCACATTTAAACTTTGTCCTTGGGACCCAAACAGTATAGAGTAGTAAGACAATGACCACCAGTGAGACAGGGACCCCAGGCATTTGGCAGTGTACATGGTTTCTTTTGTCCAGGGCAGGATTACAAACAGGAGTGTGAGGATGAAATCATGCAGCAAAAAACACTGTCAGGGTCAAGGCAGACGTGATGTCTTAGCACTGACGTCCCATCACAGAATTGTGGAACCATTTCTGCAAAGCTGAAGGAGAACTAGTCCCATGCAACTTTTCCCAACTCACAGACATGTCTCCTGAGGACCAGAAAGGTTGCTGGCCTGCAGAGGCACACAGCTGGTGTGCCTGCAGAGGCCCACAGCGGAGAACAATCATTAGCTGTGCTCCGTTTCTCCCTTCCATTAAGGAGTGCTGGGGTGAGACGCAAATTTTAAGCTTCTACCCATAGGCCAGGTAAACAAAGGGCGGCCTCCCGCCCGCCCCGTTCCTGCCTCGGCCATCCCTTGCAGCACAGCTGAGGGCTTGAAGGAGGATCCATGACTCACACTTTTCTTGCCGCGGAGAATTAACTCCAAGATAACATTACCCATGTGGGAAAAAAAAGCAAGCCATCAAGGAAGAAAGTTCACTTCGCGCCCCTCTCCACCGAGCCTCCTTACCTTCCTCATTTAAAATCCACGGCAGAGAGGCCAACACGGAGTCAAAGCCGCAAGTGCTCTCTTCAAAGGCACAGGACCCAGCGGGCAGGTCGAGGGCACCGGCGAGCTGCAGGGCTGCGGGCACAAAGCGAGTTTCAGTTCGAGCTCCACCCAGGAGCCTTTGCACCAACTCGGGGAGCCCCAGGGGGACTACCTGGTGAAAGTGGGGGAAAGACGAGCGGGAGGGGGCGGGAGAGGGATGCAGTACCTGTCCCCCAGCATCCCCGGGCGCCTCCACTGAGCGACCCCACGCCCACCCCCACCCCCACCCCAGGCTTGGCCAGGGGAGGGAGTTAGCGGCTGCGGAGGATCAGGAGGCGCCCTCGGATGGCCCAGCCCAGCACGGTGAGCCGGACCCCCGGGGGCAGCAGGAGCGGGGGCGAGTCGTCAGAGCGCCCCCGGGGTTGTCCCGGGGTCCAGGCCTTACCTTGCAACGCCAGGAGGACGCCCCTTAACAGCATGGTCGCGTTTCAGGGAGGATGACTAGGAAGGGGTGCAAGTTGCCAGCCCGCTGGGACTGGCTGCTCCTAGTGAAAGGGATCGTGGGAGGCGGGGGCGCCGGGGACCCAAGGAGGGAGAAGTCGAGAGGCAAAGCTTGCGCTCTGAGCTGCCCAACTTTGCAGAGCGGCTCCCGGAGCCGAGCGGTATGCTGGAAGGTGCTCGAATGGAGAGCGCCAGCGCCCCGGCGCTGAGCAGCAGCCTCAGGTCAGACCGCGGCCCAGCTGGTCCTGGGCGACGATGGGGCTGGACAGGGAGGAGACAACTGCACACTTTGAAAGGCCAGCCACGACTGGCTGGGAGAGGAGAGGTCGGCCCGCAGTGCCTTCGCTCAGGATTTTAAAGCTTGGGACCAGAGCCCTTGCAGACACTTGGAAGGGGCAGGCCTTCCAGGAGTCCCTCCGCTGGGTTGGGACCCGAGGCTCCCGCCCCGCCCAGCCGCGGTGGGAACTCGCTTATTTCTGGGGACAGCTTCCCTGCATCTGGCATGTCAGTCCCGCAGGGCTGGCCCTAATTTTAACTTCTTCTCCCCAGAATGAAAGAGGGTGGAATTCTCCAAGGACAGCCTGGAGGAAAATTTGGAAACGGTTGGGTGGAATAAGCTTTATATCTAAGGAGTTTCAGCGTTTACGGTCCAGCAATGCTAACCCTGGAATACCACCCCCACTTTTTTTAGCCGGTGGAATGTCTGGCATGCCTGGTGCTCAGCATTCCCTCCGTCCGGTGAAATGGGGGCATTCCTTCTCTCCAAAGAGCCATGATAGATTGATTAATGGGAGGCTTTACACTGGGAGGGGGTTGTTGGGGAGGGAGTTACTTCTGAGGAAGCTGTTTGCTTTGGGCACTAAGTGGGTCTCCAACAATATTCTTTTCTTGTAAAGAGTTCTTCTTCCTCCCCTCCTCTTCCTCCTCCTCCTCCTCCTTTCTCCCATTTATAATTTTGTGCAGGCAATTTTGTGAGGAGGGCAGTGGTTTTAAAACCTGAGGGTGCATCAGAATCTGCTGAAGGGCCTCACCCTCCGTTTCCGATCCAGTAGCTCTGGAGTGGGCCTGAGAGGCTGCACGTCCCTAATAAGTTTCCAGAGGCTGCTGCTGCCGCAGCGGGTTTGGAACAATACTTTGAGGACCACTGGCCTAACAAACTCCAGTTGAGCCATCAGTTCAACCTGCTCCCATGCCTTCACCTGGCTTCCAGACCGCTGGGTTTCCTGGTCTTTCATTGGCCGCCGCTTCTCGGCCTCTTTGCGTTACCTCTGTAACCCCTTAACATGAGAGTGCCTCCAAGTTCTTCCCTGTCACTCCTGTTTCTTTCTCTATCCAGCCCCTCAATGCTGTCCTCAAGTCTCATAGTTTTAGATACCAATGATAGCCTGATAACTCCCACATTTATATTTCTAACCCAGACTACTCACTAACGCCAGACTCTTCGATCTCATTGCCACCTCAACATTTCCAATCGGATGCTTCAGAGCTATTTCATACTTAACAGGTCCCAACATGAAGGCTGCATATTTCTTGCCAAACCTGCCCGTCCCCTGTGTCTTCCTCATCTCAGTAAAAGAACTATTTTCCTCCAGTTGTTCAGGAGAGAAAACTTGGAGGCATCTTCAGCTCATCCGTTCCTGTCAGACATTGCCAATTTCTATCAGCTCAGGATTCAAAACACAGCAGATGCTGACCATGCTCTGTGCCCATGGTGGTGATGCCTTGGTTGGTCCAAGCTGCCCTTGCCATCAACCTGGGATACCGCAGTGGCCTCCTGACCACGGTCTCCCTTCATTTTCTGCCCTGCCCACCCTACTCTATTCTGAACACACTAGTCAGGGTTATCCTTTTAATACAGAAATTGGGCCATGTCACTCCTTAGCTCAAGACCCAACAAGTTCCCAAGTCATTTAGTAAAGTCCAAAGTCTTCACGATGACCAACCAGGCCCTATAGGACCTGCTCCACCCTTTTCTTTCTTTTCTTGCTTTCCTTCTTTTTCTTTTTTTGAGACAGAATCCCACCCTGTCACCAGGCTGGAGTGCGATCTCTGTTCACTGCAAAGTCCACCTCCCAGGTTCAAGCAATTCTCCTGCCTCAGCCTCCCAAGTAGCTGGGATTACAGGCGTGTGACACCACGCCCAGCTAATTTTTGTATTTTTAGTAGAGACAGGGTTTCACCATGTTGGCCAGGATGGTTTCAATCTCTTGACATCATGATCCACCTGCCTCGGACTCCCGAAGTGCTGCGATTACAGGCGTGAGCCACTGCACCCAGCCCCACCCTCTTATTTCTCTGACTTCAATCACCCTGCTTACTCTTCTCTAGCCACACAGACCTCTTGGCTGATCCTCAAACACAGTCCAGCTATCCTTTCAGAATTTTGCACTGGCTGTTCTTTCTGCTCAAAATGCTCTTCCACAAAGAGCCACACAACTCACCGCCTAATGAGGTCTTCACTCAGATGTCACTTTCAGTATTAGAAAATTAGTAACCTTCTCCCTAATAAGGAAAATATATCTGGAATCCTTTTTTAAAGGTAGGAACAAATTTTCATGTGTTTTCTGTAAACAATGATTCAAATGGTCAAAAATTTATTCATTAGTGTGTGCTATTTGGTGTATATGTATCTTTTTTTATTTATATGCTTTGCCTCAGGTAGTAGCTAATAATAACATTTATTGTGTTTACCATTATAAATGTTTTATGTAGATAATCTCATTTAAGCTTCACAAAATCTCTACAGGATAAATATGTTCATTATCCCCATTTAATAGATGGGGAAACTGAGGCACAGAGTTCAGTGACTGTGGACAGTAGAGACAAAACTCAAACCCAGATCTGCTTTATTCCAAAAGCCTATTTTCTCAACCAGTACAGGACTTCTCTCACTTGGGTCTTATATTCTTTTTTTTTTTGACTTCTTGATCACAGATGGTGCTAAATATCTGATGAATTTCATCACACTACTTAACTAAAAATTCAAAGACAGTTATACATTCAGTCGAAACCTCAAAACATTATTTTCAACTAAAGAAGTTTTCAGCAACAATCAAACTGGTGCTCCTTTTTCCAGATACTTAAGGAGTATTTCAAAGTTTTAGAATTGCCTTAGATTCATGTCGTATGTTCTAAGTCATAGGAAAATGAAAAACTTCAAAGCCCTAAAGAGATCCTTCCAAAATTTAAAATATGATTTACAACCTTAACGTGACATTGTGTATTGCCACCTATGGGAACAGAATCATACATAAGTACAAACTCAGACCAAATTTTCTATTTTGCATATAATTGTTTGATCCCAAGAATATATGATCCTTAGACATTGGCACAAGTTAGAATGTCTGGGAAGCAGACTCTGATTTGAAGTTTAATGTGCAGGGTGTTTAATCAGGAGTACCTTGGGATCAGTGCCATGGAAGGGAGGGAGAGGAAGCAGGAAAGGGTGGAGGGAGAATTGGAGTTGCAATGCAAATCCCACAAAGCTTCTTTCAATCCCCCAAGGAACTATGGAGTTAAAATGGCCTATCTAACTTGTCTCATGTTAGGCTGAAATGAAAGGGCATTTGTACTGCTGTCTCCATCTGTCACTGGTTGTGGCCTATGCTGGGACAGAAGTGATCTCCAGTGAGGCAGCTCTCTGCACTGGGGAGGATCAGAAGTTGAAGGCCGATGACAATACTCCAAGCCGCTGGGACTAAAAGTCATTTCTTGAAGGGGGATCTGGACAGCATAAAAATGCCTACCACAGACGTTTTGCAGAGAAAGGAAAAAATATTGTATGTGGCCTAAGTCAGGATGCAGGGAAAAAGACTGAGGAGGGAAGCCAGAGAATCTAGAAACTACGTCAACCAACTTCCTTTGGTCACTAATCATAGCACCCACATGGTACCCTCTTATTACTTGGGAAAACAGGATCAGGTCCCAAGGAACCCAGAATGCTATTCTCCAAGATTTAGCTTAAGCAACTGATCAAATAACACATATCAAGTTCTGGCTTACAGAAAGCACTCAGTACTTAGGTATTGTAATAGGTTGAATGGTGGCTCAAAAGATACATCCGTATCCCAGAATCTGCAAATGTGACCTCATTTGGAAAAAGGGACTTTGCTAATTTAATTAAGTTAGGGATCTTGGGATGAGATCATCCTGTATTACCAGGTGGGCCCTAAATCAATGGCAAGTATCCTTATAAGAGTCAGAAGAAAAGGCACAGACACATGTAGGAAATGGTCACGTAAAGATGGAGATGGCATGTAAAGAGATTGGAGTGATGCAGCCCCAAGCCAAGGAATAACAAATTCTCCCCTAGAGCCCCAGAAGACTGTATTCTGCAGACACCTTGATTTGGGGCTTCTGGCCTCTGAAACTGTGAGTGAATAGCTTTCTGTTCTTTTAAGCCACCCGGTTTGTAGTAATTTGTTCTGGCAACCATAGAAAACTAATATAGAGTGCATTAAGTAAACACATGCCAGGCACTTAACATGCATTATCTCATTTAATCCATGCAATATCCCTATGAGGTGAATATCATTATTGTCCCCATTTTATAGACTAGGAGACAGGACCAGAGGGGGTCAATTAACCTGCTCAAAGTCACACGTCCAGCCAGCATGCAGCAAGGATTTGATCCCAGATGCCCACTTCTCCTGGCTATCCACTATGCTGCCCCTAAATGCTTCCTCCTTACACAGGCCTGTCTCTCCTAATGAGGGCTGCCTACACCACACACAGACACTATGCCCTGCTCTCTCTGTGGGTTCCTGTATGATGCTCACCTCTCACAGAGCCTGCCCATCCTCTCTGCTCTTTGCCAATCTGTTCCTTGCGCCCTCCAGGTACCTTTCACCAGGGGCTCTGCTCCTTGTTGTACCACTTCTAGCCTGGAGATCACCAAGTTCTTGCTTCTAATTTTCTGGGTCAAGGTGAGGAAGATGAAGCATTGCTGCTCCTCTCTATCCAGTGTCTTCCCACATAGCCAGGTGAGGCATTGGGGGGTGTGAGCAAATCTGTGGGAAGAAAGCAAGAAAGCCAGCATTTATGATTGCACCTTTGACTGCACTACAGAGGTTAGCCAATCTCAGAGTCTGTCTTTACTGCCCACTTTCCCTTCTGTTTTCTTTCTCTCCTTGTTAGTCTCACGCAGTGTCATGCCATGATAAGCTCAGCAAACATTTCCTGAGCACCTACTGTGAGCCAGACACTATGCTAGGGGCTGGAAATCCAGGGGTCAAGAAGACACATCCTCTGCTGCTGAGACAGGAGACTGACCCATGAGACAATAATTTCAATAAAATATGTGGATGAGATAGAATTAAGGCTGCAAATATAAAAAGTCTAGAGGCCAAGGAAGTCACGTAAATGAATGGAGTGATCTGGTAACACGGAAGAAATAGGGAGGGATGGAGACTGTGGTTAACTGGAGTAAGTAAGTCCAACTAAAGGGCATTACAGAAACCATCTCTACCCCAACTGCTCATGTTTCAAAAGAAGCCCAATATTCAGATATGTATATAACAACTCCTGATTTTCAGATGCCATTCCATTCCATTCCATTCCATTCCATTCCGTTGCATTCCATTCCATTCCTTTCCATTCCAATCCACTCATGTTGATTCCATTCCATTCTATTGCATTCAAGGCCACTTCATTCCATTCCATTCCAATCCATTCTTTTCGGATCCATTCAGTTTAAATGCATTCCATTCCTTTCCACTCCATTCCATTCCATTCCATTCCATTCCATTCCATTCCATTCCATTCCATTCCATTCCATTCCTCTCGAGTTGATTCCATTCCATTCTATTGCATTCCATTCCATTCCATTCCATTCCATTCCATTCCATTCCATTCCATTCCATTCCATTCCATGCCACTAGAGTTGATTCCATTCCATTCTCTTGCATTCCATTCCATTCCATTCCATTCCATTCCATTCCATTCCATTCCATTCCACTCGAGTTGATTCCATTCCATTCTATTGCATTCCATTCAATTCCATTCCATTCCAAGAAATTAAAACAATATACTCAAATCCCCATGGGGTAGAACAAAATCTATTGGGAGGTTAAATTCAATTCTTGAGCTGAAGTTTGCAGCATTATGATAGAACCACGGAGACAGAGAGTAGGGTGACTCCCTCCTCACTCCTCCAGAGGAGGTAGCCAGGCACACGGGAGCAATGCCATTCTACAGTAGAGCAAATGGAGGCAGAAAAAGTCTAGGTGACTTTTAACCAAGGCTGTATGTCTCTAGGGCAGTGGTGGGATGAGAAGCCATTAATTATCTCACCTCCTAGTTGGCCAGTATTTGGAAACATGGAAAGGACTTTGTATATTCTAGGTCTTGCACAGATGTAAGGTAATTAATAATAAAATTAGTAACATCTTTTGTAGTTATTATACCTTGTTGCATTCTCATTTATCTCATATATATAATCTGTTTTTCTTAATACCTGGGTCTCCTTTAATCTATGCCAAGTCATTGTCTCTGGATTTTTGTCTTTGTTTCTGCCTTTCTCTCTCACTGTCTGATGTACTTTGTATGGGCTCACCTCTATCTCTGTCACTCTACACTGAGTGGTTTTTTTTTTGTTTTGTTTTTGTTTTTGAGACGGAGTCTCGCTCTGTCGCCCAGACTGGAGTGCGGTGGCACAATCTCCGCTCACTGTAAGCTCCGCCTCCCAGGTTGACGCCGCCGTTCTCCTGCCTGAGCCTCCCGCGGAGCTGGGACTACAGGCGCCCGCCACCGCGCCCGGCTAATTTTTTTTTTTTTTTTTTTTTTTTGTAGTTTTAGTAGAGACGGGGTTTCACTGTGGTCTTGATCTCCTGACATCGTGATGCGCCCGCCTCGGCCTCCCAAAGTGCTGGGATTACAGGCGTGAGCCACCGCGCCTGGCCTACACTCAGTGTTTTTAAAAAAATCTTTGACATGTTTATTGGAATTACATTAAATGTGTACATTGATTTATAAAGATTGATATATTTACCTTGGTCCATTGATATAAATTTTTGTGTTTTCCAGTAAACTTTTAAAAATATCTTCATGTGAATTTTACCAACTTTATTCTAATTTTATTCAGAAGAAAAGACCAAATATGCACTCCTGCAGTCAGTGGTCTGTGTTGCTTCCATGTCGTCTCTCTCTCTCTGCATACACCCAACAGGCCCCCACTCATTACACACAATCAGGCTAAAACGAGATGGCAAAATCATTCCAGGCTCTGGGCTTGTCCTGCCAGTGACCTCCGTAGTTGCATTCCAGCAGGAGGTAACTGAAGGCTCTGCCCCGAGGCCAGCGATGGTCCTTGGTTACTGTCCAGCACTGTTGGCCTCTTACTCCCAAAGAGCAGTCATGTGCCTGCTACGGATTTGAATCATCTCCCATGATGCACCAAGACCCAAGGGACAATCAGTCCTTACAAATCTCCTTTTATTACAAAATATATAGCCCACTGTTCAAACTGCCACAGTCAAATGACTGAACCCATAAAGTAGGTACATCTTCTAGAGTGAGCATTTTAAAGGAAATAGATACTTCAATAGATGCTTTCTATCATTAATCTTTTCTTCATCAGCTTACTCCGGATCCTAGCTGGGAGTCAGACATCCTTCATTACAGCTTGAATGCAACCTTCTAATTTTTTTTAAATTGAGGTTTTCTGGGCTGACCAGTCACAGTGATAATACTACCATGTTTTGTTAAGTGTCTGTGATGTGCCAGGTGGTTTCATGGTAAATTCATGGAGGAAGAAACTAGGCTCAGAGATTTGATGTGACTTGCTCAAAAGTACAGGGCTGGGGCGGGAGCCAGCTCAAGCTCCTACCAAAGCCCTTATAACCTCAATGCCATCCACCCAACACAGGGAAGGTGTGAGCAGAACTTTGAAATGTCTGGTTCCCAGGTCCCCGGCCTCCTACCTCTACCCACAGGCAGTGCTGAGGCCAGGAAGACCAGGGGCTTGGAGAGGGGCGTCAAACAGATTCACCCACAGCCCTCAAAAGGAACAATCCCCGACACCAGTGCCACTGATCTTGGTCTTCTGGCCTCCAAAACAGTGAGATAATAAAAATTTCTGTTGTTTAAGCCATCTGGTTTGTGGTACTTAGTTACTACAAACTAATATATTTCTATTCATTTCTCAAGACCCAGTTCAAATGGCCCCTCTCCTATGTTGTTGGTGTGCCTGTGCTGCAGCATGTATGATGCTGTGTCCTAGGCTGTGCAGGCTGCTATAACAACGTATCATACACTGGGTGGCTTATCAACAGCCAAAATGTATTTCTCAATTCTGGTGGCTGGGTGTTGGGTAAGGGCCTGATTCTTCACAGATAACTATTTCCTCACTGTATCCTCACATGGCAGAAGAGGCAAGGGTCTCTCTTGGGCCTCTTTTATAAGGGTGCTAAATCCTATTTATGATGGCTCTGCCCGCATGACCTAATCACCTCCCAAAGGTCCCCACTTCTAATGCCATCGTTTCATGGGTGAGGATTCCAGCATATGAATTTGGGGCAGACATAAACATTCATGCCACAGAACGCTGTATGACAATGACTTTGTCTATGTCTCTGTGTTCTGCGATAGAGACTGAGTTTCAAGGGTAGAAAGCAGAGCAAGTGTGTTTTATCTTTGTATCTGCTCCTGTGCTATCTCTATACATGGCTAATTGTAGTCGCTCAAAAGATGTTTGTTGAAGGAAAGTCTAAGGAATAGCATATCCTCATTGGTCCACATGGCCCAAGAACCAGCCTAAGCTGCAGTCCTATGAGTAGAAGAAAAAGAACTACATTTAAATTACCCAGGGGAATATGTATAAAAATGAAATCACAGGTGTGTTCTGGGAGCACAGAGCCAATCTGAAGAGGAGCAACAGACTGAACAGGGAGTAAAAGCAGGCTTGCGGGGGTCAGGGCAGCACATTTGGCAAACCGGAGAAAGGCAGACTCTCAAAAATCCACTTTCCTGAGAGGCAGATGAGGCCACAGAGAGAGAACTTAACCTCTGGAAGGAAGTGCCAGGCCTTGGATGTTGGAGGGAAATAGAGACTATGAAACAGCTTGGATCCTGCCACCTGAGTCTGTCCCAGCCCAGCTCCATGGTCTCCTATCTGAGTCCAAGAGTAACGCCAGGCTGTTGGGAAAGCCAGAAAAATCTGTTTCCCTAAATCTCTAAAAAAACACTGGGCCACAAATGGCTCTACAACCTGCATTAATAAGGATTGTGACAGTATTAAAATGAAAGCAGGTGAGCAGCAGTGCCATGCCCCGCTTTGCTACCAACAACCATGACTTTGGCATTTCAGAGGTCATTGCAGTGAGAATGGGCAGCATCGTGGCTGTGTCAGAGGTACAGGCTGGTTTGTGTGCACACATGTTCACCCCTAGGACACCCCCCAGATCCCAGGCGCTAACACTCTGTGTTGCCTATTAGGGTTAAGAGTGAGGAAGAGCACACCAGAATTTGACATATTCTAGCTAATGGTGGCTCCAGAGACTAGGGAGGCCCATGAGCAATTTAGGCTAAACCCAGGTGGTATGCTTTCTCCTTTACAAGTTTTGTTTGAGTGCTTTGGCATGGAAACAGGAAAAATAAAGCATTCTGTAGCCAAAAACATTTCCAAGAACAGCAATGAAACCCCAGCTTAGCTTCTGATTCATAATCTCTGACATATTCATCCGTTAGAGTGGGGATCCACACACAGTGATTTGATTGACATGAACACGGATGGGGTGATATTCATAATAAAGGCCTTGGCACTGAGAGACAGAATGGACACCAACTGGGAGGATGACAGATAGTGAATGTCAGCTCTGAACAGGTGTGTGGGGTGTGTGCATGGTGTGCAAAGACACAATAGCATTGAGAAGCTGAGTCACAGGCTTACTGCTAAATCTGGAGGCCTGAAATGCAAACAGGTAGAACACTGGAGACTTAAAAGATGTCAAATGACACTAATTCTTTCCAATTTTCCCAGTACGCAAGGCCCAAACAATTGGTGATAATGAAGAAACTCTACTACCAGACGTTGCGGGATGCCTCAATGACCTAATCCAGTAAATCACAGCTCCAGCTGTCCATGAGCTCTGTCTACCATCTGAGGAATTGTTTCTTTTTAATACAAAGACTGGCACTCATCAGATAATAATTTCTGGGATAGAAGCAAAGTATTGGTATTTCTTTAAGTCTCTTGAAGGTGATTCTACTGAGCTGGGATTAAGAACACACTGCCTTAATCCTTTCATCATCAACAAAATTAAATACTGTTACTATTAACAGAAGGAAAAAAAAGCTGTTTAAAGAGAGTGAGAAAGTGTTATACCAGGAATGGGAGCATGATTTTGTCATTGAGACCATGGCCACTGGAGCAAGACCACCTGGGTTCAACTTGTAGCTCTGCCACTTGCTATCTATGAACCTAGGGCACGTTATTTGGTCTCTCTGTGCCTCAGTTTCCTCATCTGTAAGATGGAAATCATAATAGTCACTACCTCACATGGAGATCATGAGTACTAATTGAGTTTATATTGTTAGAGTGCTCAAAAGAGTGTCTGGCATGCCAAGTACTATATAAATATTTATTATTAATTTTCTAACAACTCAAGTTTTTCACAGGTCCAGGCTTGTAGTTGAAATTGATACACAGTCTATCCACCAAAATAGCCTTTTCTATAGTGTCCTGCCTCAGGGTGGGAGGCACAGAAACTAGAAATGAAAATTGGACAATTAGTAGCATTGGTGTTCTATCAGATTAGAAGAAACATTCATTCATTCATTCATTTATTTACTTGGAGACAGTCTCGCTCTGTGATCCAGGCTGGAGTGCAGTGGTGCAATCCCAGCTCACTGCAACCTCCACTTCCCTGGTTCAAGCGATTCTCGTGCCTCAGCCCCCCGAGTAGCTGGAATTACAGGCACACACCACCTTGCCTGGCTAATTTTTGTATTTTTAGTACAGACAGGGTTTCACCAGGTTGGCAAGGCTGGTCTCAAACTCCTGACCTCAAGTGGTCTGCCTACCTCGGCCTCCCAATGTGCTGGGATTACAGGCATGAGCCACCACACCCATCCAGAAGAAACATTTAACCTATTGAATGCATACTATTATAAATACCAACAACTAGGACATTAAAATAGTAATGGGAAAATAATTTTAGGATTAAAATAGAATTCTTCATTTGATAATACTCGAGGTGGAGCAAACAAAATGGAACGGTGTCTAAGAAGAGGCATCTTACAAGATTACTTTTCTAGAGGCTAAAGGAAATTATCTTGGGCACCGGTTATAGCCTGAGGGGCAAGTCTGTCTGTATCTAATAAAAGTGTCTTCTGAAAAAAGAAACAGAGAGGGAACTTTAAAGTGGAGCATCTTGTTTTATGAACAGCTGGAAGTGCCTACAACTCCTCCCCAAACTGAAAAGATTACTTTTACACTATGCATTTTACAATTTTACGTACACATTTTTAAAACTCTTTTGGGATGTGGAAGGTTTATTTATTCAGCCACCCATAGCAAATTCAAATAGACTCCTGGCTATCTAAAAAGCCACAGCACTCGGAATTTCTCCCATGGTGGTGGGGGATGGGGATGCTCCATGGGGAAATTTGTTCCCTCACCTGTAGGCTTCACTCCAAAACAAGGCAATAGGACTGCAATGACTTCTGTGACTCTAGCCATGGTAATGCCTTGCAGTGGGGGGGTTACATTTTGCATCTCTCTAAGCTTCCATACTGGGCCAGCAATATCACTGAATTCTTCCAAGAGAAAATAGCTCCCCCAAAGGTGGCACCCACAGGAATCTCTGCCAGGTTCCCAAGTCTACTGATTCTTGCATTCCACCCCTTCCCTCAAGGTTCAATTCCTTTATTTTAAAATTATATCCTTTAGAAACTTTTTTTTTAGCAAAGACTTGTGAGAGGTCAATTCTCCTTCTTTTTAAAAACATCAGTCATAAAGGATACTTCTGTTTGATGTAGACTTTTAGATTAAAGTTCTGAGTAAAGATGGTGGATTGAACCACAAATCCAAATTTTGCTTTTCCAGAAATCATATAAAACTACAATGAATATATATTATTTAGAAATGCATGAACCTTTAAGAATATGGGAAATGGGAGAAGAGACAACAACTGACTTCTGGAAGCCGGAAAGAAGATGGGTAAATAAACTAACCCAACATGTCAAAGAAACATTCTAGGCTGACTCAGTTTTATTTTTTTTTCCTAACATAATCTAAACTCCAGGAAATGGTGACACCAGGTAACACTGGAAATGGAATAAAGAGGGTGGCCTAAAATAAGGAGGATTAGAAAAGTTGTTTGAGAATCACCAGCTTTCTAGATTCCCTCAACACCCCACACTCTTGCATGAGTTCTCTTCCCCATCCTAGCAAAAGGATGTTTACTGTCTGGAGAGGGTAAAACAGAGGTACCCTGTACTTTGAGGGCAAAGACTGAGTTAAGAGCAGGAATCCCACACTGAAGCCAGAAGGAATAGAAGGAGTAAATGAATATGTAGACGCTGAAGGCCAAGACCCCTGCGCTAAGTCCTGTTCATCTACTGAGCTTCCACGGTGATTTGGAAAAATGGAAGAGTCATCTCTGGGGGATTTGACCAGCCCAAAAGGAAAAACTTACACATACCAATATTAAGGTTAACCCCAACAAATGACCCAGCCAGATCACCCTCCAATAAAACTCACTCAGATCTTCCAATCAGCTTTTTACTCACCCACAAGTAAACAAGAGCAGACACCTATTATGAGACGGATGAAGAATGCCTCTAACTTATAAAGATCAAGCAAACAAACCACAAACAGATAAAAATGACTCAGAGGGAAATTATGAAGGGAAGAGAAAACTTCAAAATAAAACTATTATTAATATCTTCAAAGAGAGAAGCTATGACACTGAATCCCAGGGATGAGGTCAGAATGCTATTTAAAAAAGAACATTCAGAGAACATAAAAGAGCTCTTAGAAATTAAAAACCTGAGGCCTGGCACAGTGGCTCACACCTGTAATCCCAGCATTTGGGAGGCCAAGGCAGGCGGATTGCTTAAGGCCAGGAGTTTGAGACCAGCCTGGCCAACACAGTGAAACTCATCTCTACCAAAAATACAAAAATTAGCTGGGCATAGTGGTGTGTGCCTGTAGTCCCAGCTACTCAGGAGGCTGAGGCAGGAGGATCGCTTGAGCCTGGGAGGCGGAGGTTGCAGTGAGCCGAGATCATGCCTCTGGACTCTAGCCTGGGTGACAGAGTAAGACCTGTCTAAAAAAAAAGAAAGAAGGAAATAAAGAAAAGGAAGGGAGGAAGGGAGGGAGAGAGGGAGGAAGGGAGGGAAGGGAGGAAGGAGAGACAGAGAGAGAGAGAGAAAGGAAGGAAGGAAAAGAAAAGAAGAAAGGAAAGGAAAGGAAGGAAGGAAAAGAAAAGAAAAACCTGATAGTAGAACACAAACATTCAATAGAAAAGTTGGAAGTTGAGGTTGAACCAACCTCTCAGAAAGTAGAGCAAAAAGCAAAGAGAAGAAAAATAAAAGGAAAAGTTATATAAATGTATGTTTATTTGTGTTTTTATATAGAAAATATAAAACATTATTTTATAAAACATTATATAAATAGTCTAGGAAGATCAATGTCTGGATTATGAGGATTTAAGAAGAGAATAAGGTGAATAAGAAAAAAATAGAAATAATTTAAGGAAATTTTCTGAATTCAGATACATGAATTTCCAGACTGAAAGTCTCACTAAGTTCTCAGAACAATGAATGAAAATAGATTCATAGCAAGGCATATCATTGTGAAATATCAGAACAATGGGAACGAGATGTTAAAAGCTTTATAAGAGCAAAAGTGAGTCACACTCAAAAGCCAGTTACACTTAGAATAATATAAACACTGATCATTGATCTAAGCAAAATTACACTATTACTATATTAAAAGCATGAGGGCCCAAAGCAATCTACAGATTCAATGAAATCTCTATCAAAATACCAATAAGATTCTTTACAGAAATATTAAAAAGTCCAAAAATTCATATGGAACCACAAAAGACCCAGAATACCCAAAGCTATCCTAAGCAAAAAGAACAAAACTAGAGGAATCATATTACCTGACTTCAAATTATGCTACAGACCTGTAGTAACCAAAACAGTATGGTAAGACATAAAAACAGACACATAGACCAATACAGAACCCAGAAACAAATCCACACACTTACAGTGAACTTATTTTCAATATATGTGCCAAACACCTACAATGAATTCGTTTTTGACAAATGTGCCAAGAACATACACTGGGGAAAAGACAGTCTCTTCAACAAATGGTGCTGGGGAAACTGTATATCCATATGCAGAAGAATGAAACCAGACCCCTATCTCTCGCCATATACAAAAATCAAATCAAAATGGATTAAAGACTTAAATCTATGACCTCAAACTATGAAACTACTACAAGAAAACATTGAGGAAAATCTCCATGACATTGTTCTGGGAAAAAATTTATTGAGCCATACCCCACAAGCACAGACAACCAAAGCAAAGTAAATGGGATCACACTGAGTTAAAAAGCTTCTGCACAGCAAGGAAACAATCAACAAAGTGAAGAGACAACCCACAGAATGGGAGAAAATATTTATGAACTACCCATCTGACAAGGGATTAATAACCAGAATATATAAGGAGCTTGAACAACTCTATAGGAAAAAGCCTAATAATCCCAGTTCTAGTGACAGTGAGGGAGTTCTCATGAAAGCCGATGGTTTTAAGTGTGCCACGTCCTCGTTCTTTTGCTCTCTCTCCTGGTGCCTTGTGAAGAAGGTGCTTGCTTCTCCTTCATCTTCTGCCATGATTGTAAGTTTCCTGAGGCCTCCACAGCCATGCAGAACTGTGAGTCAATTAAACTTCTTTTCTTTATAAATTACCCAGTCTCAAGCAGTGCCTTGATAGCAGTGTGAAAACAGACTAATACCCCCCTGGACACAAAAATTATAGCCACAAAGATAAAACACTGGAGACACAAGAATAATCTTGTTCAAAGATATGGAATTTTGGAAGGAGACTATAAATAAATGGGCTTTTACTCAGAAAAAAAGATCTAGGGAGTGGATGTAATAGAATGCTGAGTGTAATATGACTTATTGCCCGTGGATAAGAGAGGTGTGCAATGCCCCAGATTTTAAAGATAAGTGAAACTAATTAAGGCCAGCCAATTCTTCCAGGGATTTTAAAGAAGTGGCCAAATGGGCTCCCCCAATTATTCCTACAGCTCCTGCACCACTCTTTCTTCCACCATCTCCAGTCTGTATAGGAGAGATTAGAGAGAGAAGAAAGTATCCTGCAAGTTGGGTGTTGCTGGTGAAGGATGAGAATAGTGGCTTTTCCCACCTCTTCCCTTGGGAGAGAAAAAGAAAACTGCCTTTTTCCAAATTCCCCCGATGTAAAAAGGGCTCCATCTATCACTCTTAGAGATCTAGCATCTTATGACATCTTATTCTTTAGTTTGGGTTCTGTTTAGACAGTGCCCTTGCTGATCTGTGCCCTGTATCTTTATGTACAGAAGAAAAAGAAAGGGGAAAAAAGTGACAGAACAGAGAGAATGCAAATGTGCAGTAGTCAATACTTACCCTATTTGGTGGAACAAAGATGCATAAGTTTCATGTGGATCCACAAATAGCTAGGCTTAAACTGCTTGCTAGTGCCCCACCTAAAAGTATGACCCATCAAGTAAGAGACTCCAGTAGTTGAAGGCTATGGGATATTCCACTACTGGACAAAACTGGGGGAGGGAGGTGACAAAGGTCATGTCTGAGTGTATGTCCCAAGCCAGGAGATGGGTCCAGTGACTGTGAACAGCTGGAACCAAGACCGACACGCCCGCCCCCCGCGCATGTAAGAACAGGGCCCTCAAATGGCTGCACCTTCAGTAATTAGCATGTTAAGTAGTCTGAATGCAGCCAGGCGCAGTGGCTCAAGCCTGTAATCCCAGCACTTTGGGAGGCTGAGGCGGGTGGATTACCTGAGGTCAGGAGTTCGAGACCAGCCTGACCAACATGGTGAAACTCCATCTCTACTAAAAATACAAAAATTAGCCAGGTGTGGTGGCACACTCCTGTAATCTCAGCTACTCGGGAGGCTGAGGCAAAAGAATTACTTGAGCCTGGGAGATGGAGGTTGCAGTGAGCCGAGATTGTGCCACTGCACTCCAGCCTGACCGACAGAACGAGAATCTGTCTCAAAAAAAAAAAAAAAAAAAAAAAAAAGACTGAACTCAGAGAGGTGTGAATGCAAGCTGGCTTGATTTTTGTTCACCTACAGCTTTCAATCATGCTTTCATGAATCTCCCTTGGCTGTTCTTTAATGATATCTTGTGCAGATTCTACAGTTTTCTGGCCACTTCCATACATTAAAAAAAAGTCCACCACCAGCGAGCTGGTATTTACACATGTGCCTAAATACAGAAGGGAAATGATATCTGAGAGCGGACTACAATAACACCCAGTTAGGTGAATATTCTTTATTTTTTTCATCCATCCTCCCTGCCCCTACACTGCAGAAACTAAGAGGACAGGAAAAAGAGAGAAGAATGAATGTGAAGACAATGCCCTTTCCCCACTCGAAGGCTCTAGAGTAGAAGCCTAGCTGCTGGCATGGGGCAGGGTGAAGACAAATATTCAATTAGTTATTCAATTGAAGTTTTAAACTAGACTGGATTGATGCTAAGCTTCCAGGAACAGTCCAAAATCATGCCACAGAAATGGCTTGATAAACAAATGCTACTGTCACCCTAGAGACCTGGAACCTGACTGCACTGGACCTATTGCAACTGTTAATGTCCCCAAAACTAAGACTCCATTGCCATCACACAATCCTACAAAATGAAAACAGTGAAAAGAGCTTATATCTTTTGCTCGTTACTTGGGAATTTAAATCTCACAGGGGTGCATCTGATTAGTAGAGTCCAGGCCACGTGATTTTATTCTAGCTGAAAGGGAAGCTGGGGATTTGAAATCTGAGTTCTGTATTGCAAGGGCAGAAAGTATAACATGGAAGTTTCCCATACTTAGAAAAGCTCTTCAGAAGACGATGGACCACTGCAAATGTGACACAAGCCTATTATGGATATCACTTAAAATAGAACTGATTAACCATTTCATACCCATTAGGATCACTATTATCAAAAAAACAAAAAGAAGTGTTGATGAGAATGTGGAGAAACTGGAGCCTTTGTGTATTGCTAGTGAGAATGTAAAACAGTGCAGATGCTGTGGAAAACAGTATGGCTGTTCCTCAAAATTTAAAGAGAATTACCATATGATCCAGCAGTTTCACTTCTAGATACATTGAAAACAAGGACTGATATGGTTTGGCTGTGTCCTCACCAAAATCTCATCTTGAATTGTAGCTCCCGTAATCCCCACATGTCATGCGAGAGACCTGGTGGGAGGTAATTTAATCATGAGGATGGTTACCTTCATGCTATTCTCATGATTGTGAGTTTTCATGAGATCTGATGGTTTTATATGGGGCATTTCCCCCTTTTGCTCGACACTTCTCTGTGCTGCCACCATGTGAAGAAGGACATGTTTGTTTCCCCTTCTGCCATGATTGCAAGTTTCCTGAGGCTTCCCTAGCCATGCTGAACTGTGAGTAAATTAAACCCCTTTCCTTTATAAATTACCCAGTCTCAGGTATGTCTTTATTAGCAGCATGAGAATGGACTAATACAGTAAATTGGTACTGCAGATAGTGGGGCGCTGCTGTAAAGATACCCAAAAATGTAGAAGCGACTTTGGAATGGGGTAACAGGCAGAGGTTGGAACTGTTTGGAGGGCTCAGAAGAAGACAGGAAAATGTGGGAAGGTTTGGAACTTCCTAGAGACTTGGAGGGCCCAGAAGATAGGAAGATGTGGGAAAGTTTGGAACTTCCCAGAGCAGAGACTTGTTGAATGGCTTTGACCAAAATGCTGATAGTGACATGAACAATGAAGTCCAGGCTGAAGTGGTCTCAGATGGAGATGAGGAACCTGTTGGAAACTAGAGTAAAGGTCGCTCTTGCTATTCAAAGAGACTGGCATCATTTTGCCCCTGCCCTAGAGATCTGTGGAACTTTGAACTTGAGAGGGATGGTTTAGGGTACCTGGGGAGAGAAATTTCTAAGCGGCAAAGCATTCAAGAGGAAGCAGAGCATAAAAGTCTGGGAAATTTGCAGCCTGACGATGCAATAGGGAAAAAAAAAGAAACCATTTTCTGGGGAGAAATTCAAGCTGGCTGCAGAAATTTGCATAACTAATAAGGAGCCAAATATTAATCACCAAGTCAATAGGGAAAAAGTCTCCAGGGCATTTCAGAGAACTTCACAGCAGCACCTCTTGTCACAGGCTGGGAGGCCTAGGAGGGAAACATGGTTTCATGGGCTGGGCCCAGGGCCCCCCTGCTGCTCTGTGCAACCTCGGGACTTGGTGCTCTGCATCTCAGGTGTAGCTAAAAGGGGCCAACAGACAGCTCAGGCTGTTGCTTCAGAGGATGCAAGCCCCAAGCCTTGGCAACTTCCATGTAGTGTTGGTCCTGAAAGTGTGCAGAAGACAAGAATTGAGGTTTGGGAACCTCCACCTAGATTTCAGAGGATGTATGAAAATTCTGGGACGTCCAGGCAGAAGTTTGCTGTAGGGTCAGAGCCCTCATGGAGAATCTCTGCTAGGACAGTGTGGAAGGGAAATGTGAGGTTAGAGCCCCCACACAGAATCCCCAGTGGGGCACTGCCTAGGGGAGTTGTGAGAAGAGAGCCACTGTTCTCCAGACCCCAGAATGGTAGATCTACCGACAGCTTGTACCATGTACCTGGAAAAGCCACAGACACTTAATGCCAGCCATGAAAGCAGCAGGGAAGTGGGCATTACCCTGCAAAGCCACAGGGGCGGAGCTGCCCAAGGCCATGGGAGCCCACCTCTTGCATCAGTGTGTCTTGCACGTAAGACTTGGAGTTAAAGAGATCATTTTGGAACTTTAAAATTTAATGACTGCTCTATTGGATTTCAGACTTTCATGGGGCCTGTAACCCTGTTGTTTTGGCCAATTTCTCCAATTTGGAATGGGTGTATTTACCCGATGCCTGTACCCCCATTGTATCAAGGAAGTAACTAACTTGCTTTTGATTTTACAGGCTCATAGGTGGAAGGGACTTACCTTGTCTCAGATGAGACTTTGGACTCGGACTTTTGAGTTAATGCTGGAATGGGTTAAGACTTTGGGGGACTGTTGGAAGGGTATGATTACGTTTTGATAAGTGAGGACATGAGATTTGGGAAGGGCCGGGGCAGAATGATATGGTTTGGCTGTCTCCCCACCAAAATCTCATCTTAAATTGTACTTCCCATCATCCTCACATGTCATAGGAGTGACCTAGTGGGAGGCAGTTATCCTCATGCTGTTCTCATGGTCGTGAATGAGTTCTCATGAGATCTGATGGTTTTATATGGGGCTTTTCTCCCTTTTGCCAGGCATTTCTCCTTGCTGCCAACATGTGAAGAAGGACACGTTTGCTTCCCTTTCTGCAATGATTGTGAGTTTCCTGAGGCTTCCCCAGCCATGCTGAACTGTGAGTCAATTAAACCTCTTTCATTTTTAAATTACCCAGTCTCGGGTATGTCTTTATTAGCCATGTAAGGGCAGACTAACACAAGGACTCAAACAGGTATTTGTCCATCAATTTTCATAGCAGCCTTATTCACAATAGTCAAAAGGTGGAATCAATAGATGTTTATCAATAGATGAATAAATAATTAAAATGTGTTGTGATGGTTAATTTTATGTGTCAACTTGACTGATCACAGGATGCCCAGATATTTAACTAAACGCTATTCCCTGGTGTGTCTGTGTAGTTGTTTGCAGATGAAACTAGCATTGAATCAGGGAATTTAGGACAGCAGTTTGCCCTCCCCAATGTGGGTGGGCATCATCCAATTTATTGAGGGCCTGAATAGAACAGAAATGTAGAGAAAGGAAGAATTTGGCCCTTCTTACCTGATTGCTAGAGCACAGACATCCATCTTTTCCTGCCCTCAGTGTTT